>NC_000001.11:208639132-208790647 GCF_000001405.40 Homo sapiens | reverse complement strand
CAAAATGCATAATTAGAGGGGGAAAAAAAGCAAGTACCAAGCTAGGAACAAGATATATTTTTAAATACATGTGACAATGGTTTCATATATGACAACTCTCACAAATGAACCAAAATAAAGAGGTGATTCTTCCTTTTCTGGAACCCAGGTAAAATAAAAATAATAATAAAAACAAAAGGTGAATATCCCAGGAGCAAAATGAGAGAAATACATGATTTGACAATGCACAAAAAGAAATATAACTTATAACTTATAAGAGATAATATCTGATTTCACTGGTAGTCAAAATTGTAATAAAAATAATGATATAATTTTTTTACTTTACTTTTAGAGATTATACTTATTTATTGTTTTTACTTTAGTAAAAAAGATCACTATCCTATATTGTTAGTTATGGGAATATAAACTGGTAGATTATAACTTCTGGAGAGAAACTTGACAATATGTTTAAATGTCTTAAAAATGTACATAATCTCTGACTCTGCAATTTCACCTCTAGAAATTTATTCAAAGGAGATGATCAAGGATGCTTGAAAAGATTTATATTCAAGCATGACCACTTCATCATTGCTTATAATACCAAAAATGGGAATATTTGTAATGTTCTATAATAAATATGACAAATTCATGAGCCAGAATACTACGCAGTCATTAACAATTATGTTGTACAAGAATATTTAATGATCTGGGGAGGTCATAATGATATAGTAAGTAAAACAGCTGTTGTAAAACCAGAAATACAGTATCATCCCATTTTATTAGAAAATATGCATAGTGTGGCCGGGCCTGGTGGCTCATGCCTGTAATCTTAGCACTTTGGGGCCAAGGCAGACAGATCTCTTGAGCTCAGGAGATTGAGGCCAGCCTCGGCAACATGGTGAAACCCTGTCTCTACAAAAAAATACAAAAAATTAGCCAGGTGTGGTGGCACATGCCTGTAGTCCCAGCTACCCAGGAGGCTGAGGTGGGAGGATCACCTGAGCCCAGGAGGTTGAGGCTGCAGTGAGCCATGATGGTGCCACTGTATTCCAGCCTGGGCAACACGGTGCATACCCTCTCTCTCAAAAAAAAAAAAAAAGGAAATTTACATAGTAAAAAAGCCTATACATTAAAATATAAATAGTGATTATATCTGCGTAGGTGGAATTATGTACTACTTTTTTCTTCTTTGTGTTTTACAGTATTTTTCAGTTTTTTGCAATTAAAGTTTATTGCTTTTTGCAATCAAGAAAAATAAAAGATAAATTGCAAAAGGGATATATCAGTAAAGATTGCATTCTACAAAGAACAAATCTGTGTGCATACTGTATTAAAATCTCATAATTAGTGAAACATTAGCCTACTAAGGTTTTAAATGGAATGGGTCATGGCCTTGCTGTATTGTGTAGAGCCCAAAACAATATAGACATTTAAATCAATGTAATTTTTAGTGCTTAACAATCACCTTTAGATTTGCATGATCTGAATGAGTGGCCCTTTGGGTTATATACGGACTGTGACAGTTACCCAGCTTCAGGTTACAAGCATGCAAGACCATAAATCAAACCATTTCCTGATGTAAACAGGTCTCACAAATTTAGACTTCTCAAATACTCCATGAAGTCCAAATTTAACAGCCGTTTCAGCTAGAACAACCATCAGCAACCCCCCGAAATCTGCATCTAAACTATCCACATTATCTGAACATCTCTACAACCATCAGGTCTGTTTACTCGGAATCTAGGGATAAAGGGTTAGTGGAAAAGAAAAGAAAATTGTCCCACTTGGCTATCTCACATAATATAACAAAGAGGGCAAGACCCTCGATTCTGCAGATAGCCTGAAAAAGATTGTCTTAGATCCGAAGTGGAAACACTCTGTTTATCTGGTTCAGATTCCTATTCTCTTATTATGCTCAGTGAGGCCATGTCATTTAAAGCTATTTCTTTCTACCACTGTCTCTTTTAAAGCAACATCTGCAGAATTAAATTCCATGCACTGACAGGGATGCTTTCAAAAGCTCAGAATCAATTCTTCAATCATTCCACTTTCTTAGCTGTGATTAAAAACATGTGTCCCCTAATTAAGCTAATGAGAAACTGTTAATTGGCACAAAGCCCCCTCCTGTGCACACTTGTTAATGTCACCCTCACTTTGACAGGAGAAAGGATCAAAATCAAGGGCAGAGAGTTCTTAAGTGACTTCAATATTGGACTTAAGGAGAGGAGCTTTATTTGGGATGCTAAGGCTGTCAGTTGTACGACTTGCATGGAGGAATAAGGAATGTCATTTTGCTGCTAATTTTATAAGGAAGCAGAAGGAAGGGATGCAAATAGGACAACAGTTGATATGTTGATTTCTTTTTTCTTCCTCACAGAAATGATGGCATTCAATTCTCTTATTTGCTTTCTATGCAAGAATGAATCTACATGATAAGCCACAACAGAGTAGGAAAGCATCCCTCTCTGAAGGAACACTAGGAAGGAGCCCTCCCTGTAGACCCATCTAGTTTCCTCTTTGTCTCTAATGAGCAATATCATTATTTCATCTTCCCCTGCACCCAAGGCTCCTTGTGGATAGGAGAGGTATGCTTTGCCAGAGGAAGCACATGCTTTGATAAGATTATTTTTTATATTTTTCTAAAATTTCCATTTTGGAAAAACTAGAATTCTTTACTTGCCTAGTTTGTCCCTAGCTTTTCTTATGTAACTTTGCATACCAGCAATGATTCATTCCTAAAGTCTCAGAATCTTCTGAAGATGAAAAAATGTCCTGCAACGGGGAGGCTGGACCAGAGCTTATGGAGGACTGACAAGAGAGCTGTTATCAAGACAGCAGGCCACAAATGAGGACTCAGAGACCATGAACTTGTCTTGGTTCAGAGCAGCTCATTCCAGGAAATGGATCTCTCTGCCTTAAGTAGCCCTGGGTCGATTCTTGGGGAAAGAGACAAGCCTGGAGGCCAGGGTAACTCAGGTTATTAACCAAAGCTCTGAAAACCACAGGTGAGCGAGATCTGTTGCTAATATCTGAAAGTCCATTGCTTTATGACCCATCGGTGAGGTATAGGGGTGAGGAGGTTCTGCTCATCTGGAGCCCTCTTTTTCAGTCACCTAACTGAACCAAGTGTTTATCAGACCTGTCGATCATCTGAGAGAGGAAAGAACACTTTGCAGTTTGAAGGGTGTGAGCCACTGCTGGAACCTCTGAGAATGCCTGGCAGCAAGCTGTCACCCTGATGGGTGTGTGGAGCTGGCAGCTCCTCAGGCAGCTGTTTCTATGAGTGATTTGATGAGAAAGGAGGAGGCCAGTAAGAAGAAAGCTGTTTTAGAACCAGGGGTTGGAGTTAAGGGACATGGGCAATCTAGTAGTGGTGTGTAGTGTTTTTCCTCCACCCAGTCCCATGGACTATGCTCGAGTTCAGAGAGATGATTTAAAAGGGGCTCTGAGAATCATGGGAAGGACAAGAAGCACTCAGCACCTTCAGCTAAGAAAGAATGGCAGTAAATGGGAGGCAGACTCCTGACTGCTGCAGACCTTAACCTCCCTCCGGGGAGACAGGCTCTGGCACAGATGCTGGTGTTCCACCATGTGTGCCCGCACCTCACAGAGAGGCAGCCTTCCTAGTTGATTTCTGCGCTGAGGACCTTGACAACGGTCACTGGTGCAGGAAAGGTGGAGTGCTGAGGCGACTGTGTGGTGGCTAGAGCTGTTAGGAAGCCTGTGTCTGCCCGATAAACCTGGAGAGGACCTTAGGAAAGGAGATGCCACATCGGTGCCTACAAGCTGGGGGTCCTGGGGAGATTTGAGTCACTTCCTCCTGTTAGGTGTGGCAGTGAGTGGGGAGGGTTATAGGAAGTCTTGGTGTGGGGCAAGAAAGAAGGAGGGGGTAGGAATTAGAGAGACCACTTTGGGATTGTAGACTAAAAGTCTGAAAGGCCTTTAAGATCCCATCAAATTGTGCTACATGCACCTGAGGTTGTATTAGTTCAACCTCCCCATATTTTTCCTTTCTTATAATCTCACCTGGGGAACTATAAGCACAAAATTCAATCAGAAGAACCCTTCATTAGCTTCTATCTGATGCGTAAAAGGGAAAGATAAGAATATACCAGTACGGGCTCAGTATCAACTAAGAGTTCACAGGGAGGGGAAAAGAAGACAAATTGAGTTTTCAGGAGAGAACAGGCTGTACTTGTCACACTCTCTTCCCACCTCCTGCCCCCAGGAATCCGCTAGTTAAGAAAGAGTTCTATCCTATGGTCAGAAGGCTGGGATGAATCAGCCAGGTGCGGTGGCTCATGCCTGTAATCCCGGCACTTTGGGAAGCCAATAAGGTGGATCACCTGAGGTCAGGAGTTAGAGACCAGCCCAGCCAACATGGCAAAACCCTGTCTCTACTAAAAATACAAAAAAAAAAAAAAAAGCTGGGTGTGGTGGCAGGTGCCTGTAATCCCAGCTACTCAGGAGGCTAAGGCAGGAGTTTCGCTTGAACCTGAGGGGTAGAAGTTGCGGTGAGCTGAGATCACACCACTGCACTTCAGCCTGGGCGACCGAGCAAGACTGTCTCAAAAAAAAAAAAAAGAAGGTAGGGATGAATGTTTTATTACCTAGTTTTGTAAATCAGTGAATGTGTTTATTTGAGCTAAAAACCAAACCATGACAGAGTGGGACTAGGACCAGCTAAGTCATGTTTTGATGTTTTGAGACTGATCTGAAGTAATCCCCCCCTTTTTTTTCACCCCATTGCTTCCTGCAGGGACAGGGACAAGATGAGATGATGTATATGAGAGTATTTTGTAAACTCTGAAGTACTCAGTGAATAGGCTGAAATCTGCTGAGAGTAGCAGAATAGTCCTTTTTTAAAGTAAGAAGGATAAGAAATGATTTGCATAGTTTACAAATTCTGTTAGCTCCAGTCTCCAAATGCATTCATTCTAACTCATAACTCATATCCACTACAATCAGGGCTGGTGCCCATGGCTTTGGTGTCCGTGAGTATGTCTGGCCTGGCAGGGAGGCAGAGCTAAGAATAAGAAACAAGTTGGTTATGCTCCAAATATAATAAATTTGTCTACCTTTAAAAAATAAAAAAGGATATTGAGATAGATTCTGGCTGAGTTAGATTTACAGACACTTACTCTTTTGCCTGTTTTTAAAGTAATGAAAATTCTATCTCTCCCATTGAATCTGTCCTGAACTTAACCAAGAGTTGTCTATTCCTGTCTGAAGACTCTAAGTTGCTTTAACAGGTCCTGAACCCCAACTCTCCAAAACAGAGGGATGCAGAGGCCTCTAAAACCCAGGGTCTAGGTTTCTGCCTTCCCTCCCTTCGAAACCTGCTTGCTGTTTGCTATGGGATTTCTTTTACCCAGTTGTCACCTCCAGACCATTTACAGCTGGAGCTTCTCTTCGGTTGCCATACCTAACCCTGGACACTGTTTTTGAGATAACACTTAGTTTTAAACCCTGCCCTGAAGGGTCAGTTCCATATCACTCCTGTGTCTACTGTGGACTTCTGAAAGTCAGGCTGGATCAGAGATTGAGGTCTTGTGTTGACATGGAAAGAGAGTGGACAATTCCACACTTTGATTCCAATTCTAAGAATAGCAGAGAGGAGCCAGTGTATTGTCCTAATCCAGGGCAGGTTCAGGGTGTGGACGTCCCTACTGCACCCTCCTTGCTAGAACTATGACTATCATTGGGCTTAAATGGAAGAATGAGGATGGGATTCATTTTAACCAGGCCACCTGAGCATTAAGGGAAGGAAGCCAGGGCAGGGTAATTAATACAAAGCCCTTGACTGCTGAGCTCTTCCACTTCAGCCACTGGGAATTTGTGCCATGAAATCTCCTTCTGAGGAACTTCTGTGAAGTTGCTACAGATATCCTGTAGCAACTAATTCCACCCTGATTGCACTTGGCGTGGCCTACTCTAAGGACCAATATGATGACAAGAACAGAGCAGTAAAGATAAGAGCTGAGAAGGCAGAGTGGCAGTGCTGTTTCTTTATGTTTGGATGCCTTTTGTTCCAGAATGAGGCCACCTGGTTAAGGGGGAGGAGAGGGGGGTTCTTCCTAACCACTGAGAGCTGCCCTCTCACTAAGTAAGCATCAATGACTGTGCTGTGGTTGATAGTTTTATATATATATATATATATATATATATATATATATTCTCCTTTCAAACTTAGAGACCAGTTTTTCAATGTCTAGGCCTGCGGTTGACTGGCATTCCTGACTTTGCTCTCCAAATCTATCCTGCTCTGACCATTACACACCCACATCCCTGGAGGAGCCGTGTCCTGTGGCCCACTGGGAAGTTGCGCCCCGTACAGTAGATGCACCTGACAGCAATAATTTAAGCATAGCCTATATAGCAGATACACCTGAATTCGTGTTCCAAGCTAGGGAATTTGGGCGTGGCCAACCTGGAGATTCATTCCTTGTCAATGAGGAACATCTGAGCCCCATCCCTACGTACACACCCCAGCCCATCCTGTGGAACATGGGCTGTATAGAGGATTGAAGCCCTGAGTTTTGGGTTGGATGAAGATTGCCAGGTGGAGGTTGTTAAGGGCAGGATATTAAGTGAAATGCTATATAAACTGCATGCTCTTTGCAAATGGTTGGGGTTTTCCTGCCTAGCCCACCACCACTGGGCTTTGTTGACTGTAGGTAAGGCGGTAAGGCAGACATTTTGTCCAGCTGCTGCCACTGATCTGTCTCTGTATGTAAGGCAAATCTCTTGTCCAACTCACCACCACTGGAATCTCTCCTGTCTATGTAATCCATTAATAAAACCTCATGTCTTGCTTGCTGTTCCTGGTTCTTTTCTTTGGCCTCTTGACCCTAACACCTTCCCTATTGAGGTTAATAGGGGTTTGGCACAACAGCTCCAATGCTGACACAGCCTTTATCCCCAATTTTAAAGAATTTTGGCCTCAGAATGAGCATAATATTCATTCAACAAATATTTATTGAACACCTATTATGTACCAGGCAGTGTTTTAGACACTGAGGATGCAGGCATGAAAGAAACAAAACTCCTGCCCTGATGGAACATACAGGTTGGCAGATATAGAATGAGTAAAATATATAGTGTATGGGACCATGATAAGTGCTATAGAGAAACATAAAGTAGGGAATGTGGATAGTGAAGGCAGTGGGGGGTCATTGCAAGTTTAAACAGGATAATCAAGAAAACAAGGAGGCCGGGTGTGGTGGCGTGGAGTGGAGGACCTCTCCCACTACCTTAGGCTGTCTTATGCAGAACAAGTGGGGACAAAGGTGGGAGCAAGGAGACCAGGTAGAAGTTATTGTAGTAATATAGGTGACAGATGAGGGCAGTTTGGACCATATACAAGGTGATAACAGAGGAGATGCCAAAAGTGGATTGAATGTATCTTGAAAGTAGAACCAACAGGATTTGCAGGTGGATTCAATGTGGGATGTCAGAGAGAAAAAAATCTTTCCTTGCTCTCCCAAGGGGTCTTAAGGCCTCCGGGTGGCCAGTCGGTTCAGAACATGTCCTGGGCTTGTAGATGAGGCTCCCTTTCACCCTTCAGCCCTCACTGTACACACAGAGTAAAAGAGGACTCTTGTGACCCCAAGTAAAGCTCAGGGATTAGATGATAAATCACTAGATATAAAGAAGTTAAATGAGGAGTCATAAAGGATTATCTTCCTCCCAAGTCTTGAAAAAGTATGCCTTCCTTCACATGGCGTCAGCTGGATTTTCAGAAGGCATCCTCGTGCCCACCTTATGTATGACTCCATATAACAGGAGCCTTTAGTGTAACCATTTATTGCTCTTCCCTCCCCTACCCATTCCTTTCTTTCGGATATCCTGGGAAATGTAAGTTTTTTGCTTTTTGTTTTTGTTTTCAACGTAGGAGCATTTATGGATCTTCCTTGCACAGGGTAAAAAAGAGTTCGTTTTATTAAAGTACTCATAAAAGAAGCTAAGTTAATAAAAGAGAGAGTTGGGGGAGACAAGGGAGCCACAGGCTTTCAGAGTAGCATGTTTTAAGTGTTTTTGCAGCTCAGTTCCCCCCCGCTCTCTTCCCCAACCAGCTATTACTGCAGTATTTTTGCTCACATCAGCGACTTTCCACCTCATCTTTCTTTCTCACAGGTAGTTTTGAAACCTAATTTCAACCTGTTTGGATGAGATGCCAGCACTTGACTGGAGCCCGGCCTCTGCCAGCAATTTGGTGCTCTGTCCTGGCCAGTTCAGCTTTGAACTGCTGAGTGATAGATAACTGTGGCTTGGGTGAGGCAAGTGAAACAGGTGTTTCCTCAAGCTGTCTGTCACTCCTGCACACATTCTTTGCTGGGGGAGATTCCATGTTGTCAGCCCCATCCGAGAGAGACAGGGAAGTTGCCTTTAAGCATCCAGGTAAAGTGACACCTCTTGGGAGTTACATGATGCATTGAAATTAGCTGCCGTCCCTTCTATTGTAAAATGTGAAGATGCTGGTCTCACTGCCTAGAAGATAGTGCAGTTGGAAGCAAGCTCCTCTTCAGAAGCTTGACTTTCCATAATGTTCCATCATGGCCAGCACCAGCATCCTTTTTTTCCTCCATCCCTCCCCCTTTCACTTCTATTCAGTGGGGTGGAATATGTAAGGACTTCAAAAGGATAACCACCACCACTCCACTATAATGCATCCCCACAATTGAATGGGGACAGGCAGGGCAGGAGCAGCTAAGAGACATGGCCTTTTTCTCTGCCTAGCAAAGATTTCACGAAGCATTTAGGAGGGGGAGCGGGAAGGGGAGGCTGATCAGATTTCTGAAGTATTTGAGCAGCTGTAAGCTTATGCATATGAATAGAGGCTGCATGTATAAAGCCACCAACCGCTGAGCCAAAGGCCATTTGACTACACCAAAGGGAAGAAGGAAACTAGAGGTGGGGGGAGGACATTGAGGAAAATAATAAAGGTTGTATTAAAATGGTGAATAATGGAATTCAGAGGTTATCACCAGAGTTGAAATGGAATATGAGGTTCTCACTTTCATTCTGTCTTAAGCCTGGTGCACTGCTGATGTGGTTTATTAAACAGCTGTCACAATCCAGGCCCCTGAGGCAGATGCATTCAATGGGGTGTTAAGAAGAAATTCCAGTAGAGGCAGATAGAGCAACTGGTTTCACCAAAGGCTCCCCAACCTCAAGTTCTTTCCCATCCTGGTGCTCCCCCTATTAGAGAGAAATTGAAAATGAAAGAAGAAAAAAAAAGCAAAGAAATAGGAAAATAAGCAAAAGATCAGAAAAAGTGAATAACAGGGGAATAATATTATTGGAAGAAATGCTAGTTCTTTTCACAATAGGTTTAGAAGTTTCTGATAAGCACTTCACATAGGCCACGGTGAGCCATGCACGTGTTGTGAAGTATACAGGATGTCATGCTTGCCCTTTTGAGACTTAGAATCCAGAGTGACATTTGAGTTAAAGGATGAATGGGTATCACCAGGATAAATCATGGAAGAAGGCAGAGAGAGTAGAGATTGTGTGTGTTATGATCTGAATGTTTGTGGACCTCTGAGCATCAGGTTGAAACAATCTCCAATGCAGTAGTTATTAAGAGGTGAGCCTTTGGGAGATGATTGGGTCATGAGGACTCTTCCCTTGTGAATGGGATTTAGGCCTTTATAAAAGAGGCTTCACACAGCATTCAGCCCCTCTGCAGGATTCCTCTGCAAGGCACCATCCTGGAAGCAGAGAACAACCCTCCCCAGATAACTGAACCTGCTGGTGCCTTGCTCTTGGACATCCTAGCCTCCAGGACAGTGAGAAATAGATTTCCATGGTTTATACATTACCCAGTCTCAGGTATTTTGTTATAGTGACACAAACAGACTAAAACAGTGGGAGGCTGGAATATGCCACCTGAAAACATGAAGGATTATCCAGCTGAAGGCAATTTGGAAGAGGCAGATGCAGAAAAGCTCTCTACCTTCCCTCTATTTGCCTAAAAAGCAGGACCTAGACTGACAGAGACAAAAGGTTCCCTGCTCCTCCTCCTACCAGGGAGAGAACAAAGGTTAAGCACTGGAGACCACTTTGGGTGCTTCTTGGTCTAGAGATGGTACTAGAGGAATCTACATTAATAAGCTTTACTAACAGCCTTTGTCTGCCATTTATTTGTCTTCCCACCAATTGCTGTCCCCAGAAACTCAGTCCTTTTCCTTTGTCTTGTCACTTCTCTAAAAGTTTACCTCTCTCTGTTGAAGATACTACGTAAGCTGGTATTCAAAGCCACCTCTTAGAGAACTACTTATTCCCTGGGTGTCTGCCATGTATATATGAAATATACATGTTAATAAACTTATTTTTCCTCGCTTTTCTCTTGTTCATCTGTCTTTTGTAACAGGAGTTTGTTCCAACAAAGAACTTACGAAGGATGAAAGAAAAATTGTTTTTCTTCCCCTACAAGAGGCATAAATATCTTTTCCATTCATGAGGCTTGAGCACAAGATATTAAGTGATGCATAGCAGGAGGGGACCTGGAAAGACAGGTTTGGGAAGGATGGAGAAGGTCCTTGAATGCTATCCATTGACATTTGGATGTGATCCTAAAGGAATGGTGAACTCTTGAAGGATGTTAAGGAAGAGACAATCAAATTCTCATTTCAGAAGGACCTCTAGCTGCTGTGGGGTAGACTAATTGAAAGGAGACAGTGGCTGGGCATGGTGGCTCATGCCTGTAATTCCAGCACTTTAGGAGGCTGAGGAGGGTGAATCACTTGAAGTCAGGAGTTTGAGACCAGCCTGGCCAACATGGTGAAACCCTTATTCTACTAAAAATACAAAAAAAAAAAAAAAAAAAAAAAAAAGCTGGGTGTGGTGGCGGTTGCCTGTAATCCCAGCTACTAGGGAGGCTGAGGCAACAGAATCTCTTGAATCCAGGGGGCAGAGGGTGCAGTGAGCTGAGATCATGCCACTGCACTCTAGCCTGGGTGACAGAGTGAAACTCCATCTCAAAAAAAAAAAAAAAAAAAAGACAGGGCCGGAAACAGGGAAACCATCAAGAGACTCAACAGTCTAGGTGAAGGATGGTACTGGACCTCTCTGAAGGAGAAATGCAGTCCATTCCTCCCCAGCTCAGCTGGTGCCCTCTGGTCTGTAGTCAGAGCAGTGGCTGAAGAAACTGTGTGGCCAGCAGACACTGTGTCCTGGGGAAGGCCGTTGGAGGAGCAGTTCACTGGGAGTAAAAATAACACTCTGGAAGCAAATGCCCCTGCAGTTGTAACTGGCTCCATCCAAAACCTTAGGAGTCCCACCATCAGAGCAACTTTTTAGAAGTACCCAACAAGAGTAGCATGCATATTGGAAGAATTTGATTTCCACTCTCAAACTACGTGATAATTATCTCATTTTAAAATTCCTTAAAATGGTACAGCTTTTACTTCTATTCACAAGTAGATTTAACAATTTCATATGATGTTATGCTATTTGATTGTTAATTACATCATTATTTTATTATCCAGAAATGAGAAATACTTAGTAGCTTTAACATTTTTGAATTCCAGAAGGAAAAGAAACTAGATTGTTAACTTTTTTTAATAATTAAAAAAAAAAAAACTTAAGTCAGCCCATTCTTTGCCTTATAGGCTTTTTCTCAGCAAGTGCAGAATGATAAACTAATTGTGTAATTAGGAATAAATGGCTTATAAGAGCAATACCTTATTTTCTAAAAAGGTATAAGTGTTATGTATTCCTTTTTTAAATGTGCTCCCATTAGAGCTAAAAAAGAAGTGAAAAATATAATTTTGAAATAGTTGCTCTAAATATATATTTTGTGACCAAGATTTTCCCATTGACATGGTCCTTGCATTTCCCCAAACAAAATTGAATGTGTGTCAAAAGCTGCAGAAATGGGACAAACCATCTCCCTCAAGTCTGGGTTTGGTTATCCTGGCCCGTTCAGTGGTTGTCATTTATCTTCTTTCTCTGAGCAGATCATGGGCAGACTGGAGAAAACAGCTGATGACCAAAGATGAATGATTTTTTTCTCTTTATGATTGCATCATCCTATAAACACAAGATTTTTATTGTTTAGTTCTTGTTTTAATGGCAGTTTAACCGCAATAGCGCATGAATACCTTTTGTACATTTGCTTAGTGAATTTGTATTCCCGTTCTGGTTGACTCATTTGGTCGAAACATTAAGTTTACATGCCAAGGGGAGGAGAAAAGAGGGATGGGGCGCCAAGCTTAAGGAGAGGTAAAAAAGGCAATTATAATTTATGGGGTAAGAGTGCCAGAATTTCATTTTTTATTCTAAAGCAAGGACTGGTTCATCAGAGGAGCCTCATCAGATGGGTAAGCTTTTTTATGCTTTTCTAAGGACATCAACTTACATATTTGATCCTAATAAGGTTCTGGTGTGTAAGAGGGGCAATGACTATGCCCACTTGCCAGAAGGGATTATTGAAAGCACTTTTCAGTCGTCCTTCCAGTTTTTTCGATCTAAATAAAAAGAGCATTGCCTCTGACGGATCCATCATTCCTAAGGGTATTGGAATAAGAAAATGACAGAACAGATGCGAATGCACTTAGAAAGTAAAAGCAATATATAAACGCAAGAGATTCTTAGTTTTATTACAGAGATTTATCTAGTCCTGCCACATTATGACAGCATAAGCCCTATTAGCTACACGCATTATAAAAATCTATCATTGGCAGAATCGGCCTTGGGTGGTAGCAGCTGGCTTTGACTATTAAGACAGAAATCTCTTGGAGATATGATAAATGAAGATGGTTGTAAAGAAATGAGACTGGTTAGTGTTACCTGTGGAAACTAGCCTTGGTTCTGTCTGGGCCCTGTAAACTCCTCCAAAAGAACGGATGTCTAGATGAAGCTAGCTGGGCCAGATTGGACAGAATATTAGGCTTGATAGCCAACGTCCTGGTTTCTAGATCCAGCTCAGCCACTTACTAATTGGGAAAGACCATTCCGTTAAAGTATTACCTGACATGGTTCTTCTAGTAGGACTAATTATATTGTAAGTGAGTTGTTGACTTATGTTGGCAGATGTTAACTCTTTAAACTGCTGAAAATAGTTTTATTTTAAAGAGGAAAATGAACAGAAATTTAGATCCCAATGTTATATGGACTCTTTCTCTTCCACTTATTCATTTATCAAATGTAAATACTAAATGTTTGGTGTATATCAGACCCCAGCTGTAGGATTGAGGATAGAATAAAGAACAAAAGAGAGAAAAGGTCTTTTTCCTCTTGGGGATTATATTTCACTAAAGGAGAGTGTATTAGTATGCCATGGTGGCTGTAACAAATTACAACAAATTAGTGGCTTAAAACAACAATTTGTTCTCTCACAGTTCTGGTGGCAAGAAGTCTGAAGTCAAGATGTTAGCCAGGTCACACTCTCTTCCTCCAGAGGTTCTAGGGGAGAACCCATTCCTTGCCTCTTCTAGTTTCTGGTGGCCGTGGGCATTCCTTAGCTTGTGGCCATATCATGCCAATCTTCAAGGCCAACATCTTCACATCTCTCTGTACAGTCTTTACCTGGCTTTCTCTTTAATGTGTGTTAAATCTCCCTCTACCTCTCTTCTATACATGTGACTGCATTTAGGGTCTATCCTGATAACCTAGAATAAGCTCTCCAACTCAAAGTTCTTAGCTTAATCACACCTCCAAAAACACTTTCTCCATATAAAGTGGACAGATTTGGGGAAGCTATCTTCCCACCTACTAGAGAGTGACAGTTAATGGATAGGCAAATTGATCTATAATAAGTCAGATGGTGTTCAGTGCTGGAGAGGTGTAAGGGGGATTGTTATGTTGGTGTGGGTTGGAGTTACTCTTTCAGATGTGGCATCAGGAAAGGCCTCACTGAAATGCTGATTGAAACAGGAATCTGAGGAAAGGAGAGAGCAAGCACCACAGATGGCTGCAGGATGCCTTTTGGCCAAGGCTACTATATTACTAGAGGCACATTGTCTGCCTCCCTTGGAAACTTCTGGTCATCCTTGTCTAATATATACTGGCCCGTTGTTCAGCCTCTGGTCTTGATTTCTCAATTAGACCATATTCCTCAATCTGGATGAATTCAGAGCATCCAGTGCTACAGATGTAATGTCTTAGAGGAACCGTATGAGAATGATCTTGGAATCCTGAGTGCTCTGGTGTCTCAGCCAATTTCTGAAGTAGGGAAGCTTAAAATTTGACAGACGTAGGTCCACATGCTTTCTTTCTTTACTTTTAGAAAAGAATTCCCAAGTATGTTTGTTCTCTTTCTCCTCTTTCTCTCCCTTCTTCAATTCTCTCTTAACATTAAGAAATCAGAAAGATTTGATTTTTTGGGGTATAGATTTTAAAGGAATCTTCTAAAAATATTTCTAGTTTGTATCAAAGGTAATTACATTGTCCCCCTTTGGTCCTATTGATCTTCCTTAGGGACTTGAATTAATTTCAGTATTTCTGGAGGCAGCTGTTTTAATCTTTCATGACTCGAAAACTAATCATCTGAGAGATAGTGTCTCCTGTTTACATGACCTACATGTGGGCTACACATTGCACATTTATCAAGGCATCATTCACAGAGAGGTTAACGATGGCCTTGAAGTTTCTTGTGCAATGGCTCTGTGACCTCATTTGAAGGAGGTATGAGAAGACCTTTCATATGCAATACAAATGTCTCCAGTCCCTCCACCTCAGTCAGTGCTTGAGATTCTTTCCAGCTGAGTTTTGCAATTTACTCTGAAATACAAATATCCTAAAGAAGGCATGCAGGTGGATATTCTAATCCCGTATCAGTCATTAACATCACAAAGTTTATTAGTTGATTCTCACTAAATAAGAGTAAGTTCTTTAATTGGGAAAGAAGGAGATTCAGGGGCAGAACTAATGGACAATATGGAAAGTGTCCCCAGCCACAGCCTGAAGACAAACAGTAAGTTTGGAGGTCAACATATAAAGATGGGGAAAGTAGGAGACACAAAAGTCTCTGGTTCATTACAGCAGTGGTGATACTACTAGGCATTTCAGCTTTCTGGGCCTCATTTTACTAATGCCTTATTAAGTAAAGAGGTTTATATGAGCTAAAAAGGTCCCAATTAGTTGTACAGCTTATGATTTAATTTAATAACAATTTATTGAGTGTTTACTCTATGCCAGCCACTTATTAAGCCCTTTAACTGCATTATTTTATATAATCCAATGACTCCCATGAGATACTTAGCATTATTATCTCCCTTTTAGAGATGAGGAAACTGAGGCTTAGGAGGATTTAGTAAATTGCCTACAGTCTCATAGCTCATAAGTGACTAAACCAGGATTAAAATCCATGTCAATTTGTTGTAAAGCCCTTACCCTTATCCACGACACTCTGAGCAGAGGAAGGCACATCACATTTTCAAAACGTCAAACGGGAGACCCATACCCCTTCTCCACAAGCCCCGCACCCAACAAAGGATTTCCTAAGTTTTTCAGAGCCCCATCTGAAATTTCTGGCAATATTTTAAAATCACTGGAGAATGTATATATACCTAGTGATAAGTTGCTGGGCTTGCTGGTTTAACATACACTCACTGTCCTAATCCATACACAGAGCTTGTGTTTAGCCGCTCTGAACCAGCTCTTCTGGCCAACATGATTAGGGCTTTGCTACAGACAAGTCTACTAGGGCTGGGTGACACTCATAGATAAGCTGCTCATCAAAGGCCTTCTGCTATTAGAAACCACATCATATTCTTAGTCCTAAGCTCAGAGGTTTAGCTGTGGGTCTTCCCACCTGTGAATCCTCCTCCAAACAGATACCAAAGTTCAGAGGCAGCGAATACTTGACAAGGCAGAGCATCAGGACGTCTGTCCAGGAAACCTGCTGGAGTCCCCTTGGCTGTAACAAATGTGTCTCTGGGCATGGCCCGTCATTTTGATCCTTTTTTGACAATTTCTAAATGTGTATAGAAACAACCTGCCTCCTTTTATATTCATGTATTCTAGCACATAACGTCTGATTTTCTACATGGCGGGAGTCAACCAAGCGCCCACTCTCCATTCCCCAGTTCACCATTTTAATGCATTTCATGATCTTCTTGCTTTG
Organism: Homo sapiens; assembly: GCF_000001405.40. Lineage (NCBI taxonomy): Eukaryota > Metazoa > Chordata > Mammalia > Primates > Hominidae > Homo > Homo sapiens. The sequence continues at coordinate 208,774,596 of NC_000001.11, read as the reverse complement.
GTGTGCATTTCAAAATGACACATTTGATCAGTTCTTTAGGTTATATTGATGTTTTGCCCTTTTAAATGTGTCATTTGATTTTCTGATGTTATTCTCCATCTGCTTTGGTAACACTTTCATTTAGTCATAGCTTTTTATTGGGTCCCCAAAGGTTTATATAAAGGAATCTGACTTAAGGGTATTTTGTTTTATTTAAAAAATGTTTTTCTCCATATTTTGCTCTTGTATGCCCCCAACTCCACCTTTGCCAACAAATTTCTTCTTCTCCTTCCTTCCCCCTTTCCTACAACCTCGCCTCCTTATACACCTTTAGAAACACTGTGAATAAATTCTTCACTGCAATAGCCTCAGACCCTGGCCTTTCCTCAATCATATTTAAGTGTTTCGTTGTGTAAGGCCCATTGCCTTGCTTCTGCCGTTCCCTGTGGAGTCAATCAAACAGCAATTTTTAAAAGCAGGTATGGGGAGCAGGCTGATGTTTTACATTTCTGACATGTTTTTATTGCTTTTGTTGAAGACATTTCCAAGTAATAATTCCAAATTTTCGAAAGCAGCAAAAAGTCCTGGTACAATCTGTACTTTTCTTGGTGTTTGACTTTGTTTTTTCACCTTTTAACCAGCTCTGGTTGTATTTACCTTAAGTTCTTAAGGTAAATATGGAATTCTAAAAGGTTCATTTCCACATTTCTGATCTTTTAACCTCTTCTTCAAATACAGTAAATGCAGATGTTAGAGACACACAACGGGGTTGAGAGACTGATTAAAAGAAAGTGGGTGACAATTTTTTCCTGTGAAATATCTGAAGAGATGTGAAGGATGGAGTCAAATAAATAATAGAAAGTACCTTAGTTTTATTTTTACAATTGTGAACACAGATTTTGTCACAGCTTAGATCCCGTACAGAGGAGCCATGCAATTTGCAAGAGTCCACATTTTTAAGTTTAAAGACATTCCCATTATAAAATATATTAGCTAAAATGTTTTTCCTAAGAAAAAAACATTGTATTATAAATAAAAGCCATGAAGTAAGCTGATATCAAGTACTTTTTTTTTTTTTTGTCTTATCAGAAAGAGTAAGAATCCACTGATGTGTCGGAATGAGCAAAAATTCCTAGGACCGTGAAAGTCATTGGGCCCTCTATAATAGGAAAGTGGAAATGAAGTAAACAAGTTCACATAGCCCTAGCCTTTGGCATAATGTACATCAGCCAAGCTTGTATTTAGGATCATTCTACTCTCCCCACTTTCTTTCTGCATGATTTGTGCATCCACTGCCCCTCAAAGTGGCTGATGAAGAAGTACAGTGCAATGGAAAGAGAGTGAACTTTGACATTAAATGACTAGGATTTCAGTATAGGCTCTTCAACCATCAGATTGCAAAGCTAAACTTCATGACTTATTCTACATCTAAGAAAAGTGCTACTAATATGATCTGCTTCCCAGGGGGAGGCAGATGTCATTTCCTGGTATGATGGAACATGCCAAAAATGGCATCCAAGGTCACGCTACATTAGCAGTGGGAGTTTGCCCAGCAGCAGAGACAGTTTTATCCACTTGAGGAACAGTGTGATGGGGGAGATGCGTTATGAGCTTAGCTGGGGCTTCCATGTGAACAGATAACGAGCGTTCCACAGAAAAGAGGCAATTTGCAAGTTCAAATGGGTAAAATCAAGTCTGTTACTGAAGGGAGGTGGCTAAGTATAGTCACAACAGCAGGAGAGACAGGAGTTTGATAGCTCACACATTTTTTTAGGACATTACTGGTCCACTGCTCCTGTCTTTAGACCTGGCCACCTTCTTTATGTATAGACTTGTTGGCTGGGTGTGGTGGCTCATGCCTGTAATCCCAGCATTTTGGGAGGCCGAGGCGGGCAGATCACCTGAGGTCAGGATTTCGAGACCAGCCTGACCAACATGGCAAAACCCAGTATCTACTAAAAATACAAAAAAATAGCTGGGTGTGGTGGTGGGCACTTGTAATCCCAGCTACTCTGGAGGCTGAGGCAGGAGAATTGCTTGAATCTGGTAAGCGGAGGCTCCAGTGAGCAGAGATTGCCCCATTGCACTCCAGCCTGGGCAACAAGAATGAATCTCCGTCTTAAAAAAAAAAAAAAAAAAAAAGTATGGACTTGTTTCTATCCATCTAGATTTCCAAGTCTTCCTTGTTTTTCTTAAAAGAAGACTAACTGAAACCAGTAAATTTTCATTCCATGCTGCACCCCCCCAAACACACAATGTCAATACTCCTGTAGTCCAGCTTTATTGTTCTCTATAGCATTTATTTCCATCTATCTGCCTCTCTACTAGAACATAAGATCCATAAAGACAGTGATTTTTGCTTTGTTTCTTCATTGCCGCCCTCCCAGCACTTAGAATAGAGGCTATTTCAGAGTTGTCACTCAGTGAATATTTGTTGAATAAATAGATCAATTATTAGAGATTGCTAAGAAATATATATAAATGAAGTTGTATCTTAAAGGAAAAGGATTTGATACCTTCAGTGATAGCTTCTAGACTACATTAACCACATGTCCAACATTTTTTGTGCACTAATTTTGTGCCAGGCACTGTGCTATGCTCTTGGAAACCCACCAGCAAATAGGACCAGGTTGTGGACCTGAACAATCTTACCTTCTGGCAGGGATACAAGTAAATCTTTTGTTGTACAACAGTATAATGAGGACCACCATATAAGTATGAACAAATTATTTCTTTGAGAAAGTGCTTTATAATACGTTTTCCATAATTCCTCTACCTATGACAAAATTCATTGTATAAAAAAATCTGAGAATACATTCATAATTGTTGGCTTTGGGGGAAAAGTTTTCTGTGACAGCGATTATATTCTACTGTTCCAAAGAAGAGAGAAACACTGGTGTTCATTGTGGCATCTTCTTGGACTCTAAGAGACATCTGCTTCTGATGATGTCTCCACAGAACTTAGAGCTGTACCAGCCCTTTCTACCATGCCCCTCCCAGTAGAAAATAAAGTTCCTCATCCAACAAGAAGGAAACTTGGCTAATTTCTCTCTACAAAGAACCTTTGAAGTTCAAAAGCATTTGAATTTGCTTTCCAATAAGTGGTGATATAAACTCTTTCTCCCAGCCTTTTACCATCCAGAATTCTTTTAGCTGGTACATCAATACTACACCACCACAAGACAGTCACCCTGATGACTTTTTTTTTCTTAATGCATATCACAAAAAGCCCTACATGAGGCCTAGGATAAGAAGAGTCATCCAGAGAAAAAAATGAAATGCAGTTTAGTATAGGAATTTTAAAATTATGTGGTGATTCTTTGGTAATTTTTGTCAAAAAAAGATCATTGCATCTTTACAGTGATATTGGTGTCAAAATAACTGAATGAATGACATTCTTCAGCTATGAGAGAAGAATTTTTGTTGTTTTGATTTACATTTTTAGAATTATGAGTAAGGTGACATTTTCCTATATGATTATTTGTTATTTGTATTTTTTCCTATGAAATTATTTGCCATTTTATTTTAGGTTGTTTATATATTGTAAACTGATGGACTGATGGCTCTTCTCTTTAATGTGAGCATTTTCCTGGTGAAAGACAAAGGGATTATCAACTACAAATTTCATAATTGGAGCATTTGACTAGTTTGCTATTTTTAAGCACTGAAGATTTTGCTTGGAGCTCAGACTGTGTATAACTCTGCCAATGATTTCTTACAATCTTGTGAACTAGAGGGACATAGATTATAAGTGTTTCCATTCTTTTAATGGAGAAATTGAGTCACAGTCTGAGTTTTTTTTTTGTCCAGAGTGATAGAAATGTTGGTTTACAGTTCATCGTAGCCTTCCCTGGAGCATTCATCCAAAAAATTCTTATAAAGCAAGAGGATGGTAAAAAAAGAAGTGTGCAGTAGTATTTCCAAACATGGGCAAATCTTTCTTTTGTTAGAGATCAGGTGCCTTTGTACGGCAGGTGCATTGGCATTATTCTTTGATTAATCAATGCTAGACAGGGCTTCTGGCTAATCTCATTAGCTAATAGTGCTTCTGGGTAATTAGCTTGATGTGTGCAATTATCCTCAGATTTTAGGGCTTTTTTTTCCACTTTGATAGCATTGGTATGCATTTAATGCTTTGGAGGGCCGTGGCCCTTTGAGAGATTGAGCAAAATTCCCAAGTCTTTTCATATCAAGAGAGCATGACATCCTACCTGGCAATGGAATTATCTGAAGTCTGTCTACTAAGAACCCCATTACTGACAGAAATTTCTCAAGCATGCATGCACTTGTGTGCTCACACACACTGCACACACACACACATCACACACCTCACACATACAGATACAATCCAACTGATGAAATCTGCAAGTACTTCCAGAACTTTTTATTTTTGCTAAAGTCATGAATCTCCAGATTTCATGATAAAAATTCTAACTAGGATTTAGCCAAATACAACAAATCAGAAAGAAAAGAAAATTCCATATGACAAATATTTCTGATATAATAGATGTAATATTAAACATTTGGTCCTTTAAGGGTCTATTTTCTTTTGGCAAAGAACCCAAGAGATCTGAGCTTTAATTTCAAGTAATTTCATCCTGCCACTATTTAGCCCTGTGACTTTGGGCAAGCCATTTAACCTATTTGGTATTCAATTTATATATGTGTTTATAAAATGAGAAAGCCCAGTCATATTAAAATATGTTTTAAGCTCCTATTGTGAGTCAAGCCTGTGCTCACCAGGAGCTACCATGAGCCCACAGGAAGGATTTGGCCTACCAAGCTGGTTGTCTAATCATGTTGGATTCAATGATTTCTAAGATCCTTTCAAACAAGGCAGCTTTATTACTCTACCATGAACCAATCTTCCCTTTTTGTTTTTTTCCTTCCAAAATCCCTCAGGAAGAAAGGAGGAAAAAGTAAGTTTATTGAGAATTTAGGTGCTGTCCAGATGTTTCAATCCAGGTGGAAGTTCTTCAGTAGAAGAATATGAATGCTAGGACGTTTCATTGTGCTTTCCCTTTTTCAGCCTTCCCATTGTCACTCTTAACCCCATCCATCATGAGCCCCCAAAAAAGGAATCAAGGAAGGCCGTTTATGCCTCTTAAACAGACTGAAGCCTTCAGTCTGCACCTGTGTCTACAGGCCAGGTTATTTCATTCCTCCACTGACAGAGCACCCAGCTGAATTTAGACCCAAAACATATATCTCAGCCTGCAGAGTAATGCCCCTCAGCTGCTGTATCTAAGCCATTTTATTTCAGGGCATTTTTAGCAACCTTGCCTAAACCGATGTTGTCAACTAAATAACCCCTATGGACACTAATGGAACCTTCAAAATGAATTGTCCTGTTATGAAACTTATCATTCTTTTGTTATTGCCTAAACAACCTGGAGTTTGATTTTTTTCCCCCTTGGGTCTGGTTGCAAAAAATAGCAGAAAGCACCTTAGTTATGTTCAAACTCTTGCCTTGATATGATTTTACATAGCCCTTTCAGAGAAAAAAACCATCAGCCATGACACATAGGAAATTTGCTGCTAAAATGCATTATTGTCCCGCCACTGATGGCCTATCACCCAGGTACTAGAGGTCAGAAAAAGGAGTGTTTACTGTCTCATCTGAGCCAAAGCTGGTTTATATTAATGATCAATGCAACAGCAAATATATTGAATTTTATTCTCCCCTTTAACCCTGCTTCCTTAATAATCTTAATAATGGGACAAGAATGGCTGGGTGCAGTGGCTCACACCTGTAATCCCAGCACTTTGGGAGGCCTAGGCTGGTGGATCACCTGAGGGCAGGAGTTCGAGGCCAGCCTGGCCAGCATGGTGAAACCCAATCTGTACTAATTATACAAAAAATTAGCTGGGCATGGTGGCAGGCACCTGTAATCCCGACTACTTGGGAGGCTGAGGCAGGAGAATCTCTTGAACACGGGAGTCAAGGTTGCAGTGAGCAGAGATCGCGCCACTGCCCTCCAGCCTGGGCAACAAGAGTGAAACTCTGTCTCAAAAAAAAAAAAAAAGGAAAGAAGCTCTCATCATCTTTCTCAGCAGCCCTGTGTTCCGCCCTCTTTCAGGCAACTTTTTTCCCCTGAGAGCTTGAGGGGGGAGTCAGATATACATAACTCAGTGATTTTCTTTCTCTTATATATTTAAAAGAAAAGAAGTATTTGAGTGACTACAAAGTATAGGAAGTGACAAGTAGTGTTTTTCCATTCTTTAGAGAGGAATTCTTTTCTTTCTAAAGTTAGTAAATGAGAGGCGTTGGATGGCTCTCTAAATAGCTAAGCATTGGAGCTATTATATTGTTATTATTATTTTTATGCATGCTATTTTCCCTTAGCAGTAGAAAAGAAAATAGTCTTTTCATTACCAGTTCTATTTTTGTTCAGGGCTTAACTAGAAGATATATCTAATCATAATGAGCAGAGTATAAAGAATATTAAGGTTAAAAGAACTTATATTTTCCTTTATCCTCTCAACAATCTCCAGATGGATATCCTAGGGGTTTTCCTTCTAAATCTTCTTGCACAGTGAGCTGTAAATCTCGGACCCAGCAAGCTTCTGGTTTGGCTGAACACAGCCTTTCATGTACAATATGTACAGCCTGAATAATGGCAGAAAATTATTCAGAGGATAATTACAGCAATTGATCTTGAGATGTTTTGTAGCGTCCTTCATAGATCATTCTTCAAAGCCTTTTGGAGAGATAGTGTCTTTGGAGTCCGCCAGAGGCAACAAGCATCTAGGTTCTAATGTAAAATAAATAGCCTGCAAGTGTGGTAGCCACCTGAAAAAGAAGGGAGGACGTCCTCTAGAAAAACTCGGGGCAGTGGTTGGAGACAGTTCAAAGAACCATATGATTTGATGGATGGTCTCTTACGAATATTGCCATGATCACCTTCTCCAGCCATATCCTCTACCTCAAGTATTCTAATGCTATAAAACCTGTAATTGTGCATTGCTCTATTGTTTCCAAATAACTCTCCAGGAAGTCCTGCCACATGGCTCTGAACACCTTTCTATGAAGTAGAAGGAGTGGTGAGCCATTAACCTATTTTACAGATGAGAAAAATGGTAATGAAGGGTCAGCTTTATTTTATTTTATTTTATTTTTTGCCAGGGTTACAGCACTGGCAAATGGAGGCACTTGAGGAGCACCAGGTCTCTTGACCATGAGTCCAGTAGACTCTGCAATGCTCTCTGTGCTCCCTGACAACCTCTAAACAGGAAGTGAAGTTCCCACTTAACTTTGGGGGAAATACCACGGGCCATGCTGTAGATGAGTGTCTTTCCTACAGAGAAGAATGATTTGAACCCCTACTTCTCCCCTTGACACCACTTCTATATACACACCTCCATGTACACATCTCCAGACACACAGACCACACACACACACAAACACACACGTATTCTCTTTCCTTTATTTTTCTCAATGGTCCTGCCTAAAGTAGGAAACAGATGGGCAGCTGAGCAAGCATACCTGTATTGGACAGAGAAATCAATGGAGCCAGTTATTTCATAAACGGCTCCACTAGACACGAGGAAATTCATGGCTTAGAGAGAGCCAGTGGTTGGGGGAGGAGGGGTTGCGGAGGAGGGAAGTGCATGCTTTCTTGATGGCAGCTTGTTTTCAGAGGTGCCTGGAATGCTCACAAACCAGTCTATAGCTGAGCAGACCCAGCTCAGACCTTTAGATGGTGACATTTTAATTTTTGAATCCCTGGCACCTATTATGATGTGTGGCATAGACCATCTTACATATAATTATATACACATTAAATGTATATTGTGAATGTCATATATTTATAATGTACATTTATGTAGTTATATAAATAATTTATACTATATAATAATTATTTTTTAATTTTTTTCCACTGAGCTGAATTGAACTCAATGTGTAATTTCTAATGAACTTGAATGAGGCCTGAGTAACTGGTAATTATAGCCTGAAAGAAAAGACTTGTGTTTGAAAAAAAGAAAGCATGGAAATCAAATGATGACTGACTTAATCTGGTCAATTAATGGAAAACAGAGATGGCCAGATTTATATCCCCAACTCATTAGCTGGTAATTAACATTCTCCTACCTCTACTTTTTACCAGAGTATTTTTTTTTCACCCTAGAAAATCCCCATGAAGAATAATAGAATTATCTATTTGTTTTATAACGTGTGCATCAGCAACCTTAAACTATCAAAATTTAAATAATCAATTATTTCCCTGTGTCTTTGCAGATGGGATTGAGGTTTCTTTAAATGATATTGAACAAGGTGTGTGTGTTTATGTGTGCATATGGTTAAGCTTTTAAGCAAGTTGTTATTTAGAATAATAATCAAAGGTTGAGCTTTTTTTTTTCCTTTTTTTTCTTTTCTTTTATTTTTTTCTTTTTTTTCTTTTATTATTATACTTTAAGTTTTGGGGTACATGTGCACATTGTGCAGGTTAGTTACATATGTATACATGTGCCTTGCAGCTTTTTTTGTTTGTTTTTTTGAGACAGAGTCTCACTCTGTCGCCCAGGCTGGAGTGCAGTGGTGTGATCTTGGCTTACTGCAACCTCTGCCTCTTGGGTTCAAGTGATTCTCCTGCCTCAGCTTCCTGAGTAGCTGGGATCACAGGTGCACACCACCACACCTGGGTAATTTTTGTGTTTTTAGTAGAGACGGGGTTTCACAATGTTGGCCAGGCTGGTCTTGAACTCCTGATATCAGGTGATCTGCTGGCCTCGGCCTCCCAAAGTGCTGGGATTACAGGTGTGAACCACTGCACCCAGGGTTTCATGCAGCTTTGTCTAAAACTTAAAATCTGTAATTACTGTTCTTCCCTATCAAAGCAAAGACAACGCTCCCCATTGAGAAGAGGGCCAGGGTGTGTGGCACTCACGTGTGTGCATGTGTGTATGTGTTACAAATATAGTGATACAGGAACAAAGGAATTGCTGTAATGAAACAGATTCCTAACCAACTGCTGGAGTAGTTCATCATCCACTTTTACCCTAAGAGATGTGCTATGGGAGTACGATATTATTATCACTGATTTCAATTCAGAAAAAAAGGCATTCATTTATTTTGCTTACAGCTTGATATGATTTTATCAGTGACGAATTTGTCTAGGTTCTTCAACCCATTACCAAGTCAGGACCATATGTGATAATATTTTATGAACTTACATATTCAAATGGTCATTATCCATTTCAGAGCAGTCACTCTGAAAAGCTATGTACTTTTTTTCCAAGATGCTCTTAATTCATGGTGTAGCTAGAAGAACACTGGATTAGGAGGTAGACAGTCAGGCTCCTATGTGTGAGTCCACTACCAATGATCAGTGTGTCTTTTATCAAAGCATGTCCCCTTCCCTCCTCTCAGTTTTCCCATTTGTAATGGGGAAGAGCTGATGATCTCTGCTAGCTCTAAAATCATATGAGTCCATAGCTTCCATGTGTCAAACCTTGGGAGACTTTTGGAAATTTCCTCTGTCCCTTATAATATGTCATTTTGAATTTCCTCAGTGGTTGCAATTTTTTTCCATTGAAAGTAAATTTGATTTGAAACAGCTAAAGATCACCAAGAGCTGAGCCTAGGGATTAAAGGGCTTGATCAAGCTGGTTATGAGCATTTTAGGTAAAAAATGAGCTGTGACTATAACTTAATAAGATTGGTTTTCTCAATGTGTCATGAAAATTGACTTTGAGTGCCTATCCCAAAGAAGACTTCTAAAAACGATTCAAGTACTGACAGTTTAAGAACACTGTTTTGAAGAAAAAAATATTCTTTATTTGGCCAAACATGCTGTCATATATTGGGCCAAAACCAAAATGGTCTTATTACTTTTTAAGACTGTTAAGCTGCATTTTGAATGTATCAAGCCAGAAACGCTTCTTATGATACTAAAGTTAAAAAGCTGTTACTGTGTAAAGTAGAACCATATCTCTTTACCATAATACTCTGATTTTAAAGAGGATATTGTTGTCTGTTGTTCAATTTATTATTATTATTTATTTATTTATTTATTTATTGAGATAGAGTCTCACTCTGTCACCAGGCTGGAGTGCAGTGGCGCGATCTCGGCTCACTGCAACCTCCGCCTCCTGGGTTCAAGCGATTCTCCTGCCTCAGCCTCCCACATAGCTGGGACTACAGGCACGCGCCACCACACCAGGCTAATTTTTGTATTTTTTGTAGAGATGGGATTTCACCATGTTGGCCAGGATGGTCTCAACCTCTTGACCTCGTGATCCACCCACCTTGGCCTCCCACAGTGCTGGGATTACAGGCGTGAGTATATATTATTATATTAATAGTAATTAACATGTATTGACTGCCTTATGTATGCTAAGTACATTAGATACCATATCTCATCTTTTCCCAATTCTGGGAGACAGGAAGTAGATGAAGAAACTGAGTCTCAGAATGGTTAAGTAATTTGTCCAAGATTGCAAAACTGTTGGTGGCTCAACAATGTTGGAAAGTTTTTCTGACCACAAAGTATACCATAGTGTATTGTTGTTATAAATTTAGAAATTCAAGTATTGGTGAAAAATGACTGTTTCTCCTTCATTGCACTCTAGTCCTGTCTTAGTTTGGGTTTCTCCAAAGAGCAGAGCCTGAAATAAAAACCTCGCATCAGGCTATTCATATGTGGGTTAATATCCAAGGAAATGGGAGTGAGGCAGCAGAGAGAGGGAGGCAGGGAAGAACTATTTAGGTTGCTGCTGTAGGCAAGGTGGGCCCAATTTTGCCTTCACTCCAGGAAGCACACAGAATGCCTCCTGCAGATATCCGCCTGATGGAGGAGGCCTGAGCAGTTGCCACTGGCATGTATTTTCTGTTGGCTGATGGTTACCCCTGGAAGCTCTCTGAACTTCTGGTATCCATTTTTGTATAGACTGAGCAGGGTGCTCATTGGAGAAGCCCTTGGATAGAATGCAGAAAATGTGACTGAACTCATCCTAGAGGTGGCATTACCTGCTCCCGGGGCATCTTCTCCAATCATCATAGCATTTGTGCTGTTGGAATTCTCTTCGCCCTTGAATGGCCTGCTTCTCTTTTCTCTAGAAATTCTATTCACCCTTTAAGGTACTAATCAGGTGTCACGTTATCTGTGAAGCTGCACTTGACCCTGCCTCTTCCTCCCTCTAACCTCCTACTACAGGTCAGTCATAAGACCATTATATGTCCTTTTTATAAATTTTTATTTTTATTATTTTTCGAGATGGAGCCTTGTTCTGTTGCCCAGGCTGGAGTGCACTGGCATGATCTCAGCTCACTGCAACCTCCGCCTCCTGGGTTTAGGCGATTCTCCTGCCTCAGCCTCCCGAGTAGCTAGGATTAAAGGCACACACCACCACGCCCAACTGAATTTTATATTTTTAGTACAGACAGGTTTCTCCCTGTTGGCCAGGCTGGTCTCAAACTCCCGACCTCAAGTGATATGCCTGCCTCAGCCTCCCAAAGTGCTGGGATTACAGGCACGAGCCACCATGCCCGGCCAGACATTATATATTCTACTGATGTCTTATAAATACACTACTTGCTTACAGGCTTGTTTCTCTCAGTAAATCTGAATTTCTTGAGTGCAGTGGTTGTATTTGCTCATTTCTATAACCATATAACAGAACCAAGACATTTTCATATTTTAATTAATGAAACAAGCGAGGAAATGAATGCATATCTACTTTTCATGATTTCACAGATTTCAATCCTGAGCTCTTTCTGCCTTCTCCTTCCCAGACCAAGACACAAGAGCACCAACATTTCCTATCGTTTTAGGTGCCCTTCCCTGGACCTTCTCCAGACCTCTTTGATCTTGAGATGTGGCATCCAGAACTTCCTAGAGTGCTCCAGGTGACACTGCACCACAGTTGTGCATATTGAGGTGATCCTGGCATCTGTTTCTCTGCTTCTCAACCCAGTGGCAGCAACTTATACATTATTGCTGGCAATCATTTTGGTTTCCTGCATTACAGTGATTCATGGACAGGCCTTTCTTCCCTAATGGACTGCAGACTCCTGAGGGGAAGAGAATTGTCTTATTCATCTTCCTATTTCCACAAGAGAGAGAAGGTGACATACTGAATGGTCAAGGACAGCCACCTTCTCATACAATGGTGATAATAATGATAGTTCACAATGATTAAGCATTTACCATGTCCCTGTCTCCCCGAATGCACTATATGCACTATATAAGTTATCTCATATCATTTTCTAACCTTTGCGATGGTATTGTTATTATCCCCATTTCACAGACAAGGAAACTGCAACTTAGATTGAGTAGGTGACTTGTCTAAGATTATGCATCTGGCAAGTGACAGAGCCAGGATTGAGTTCAGTCCTCTCTGACCCTAACCAGAGTCCATGCAATTACAATAGCATGGCCTGCTAGGGGCTTTTCCAAAAGATGGAAGAGAGCGCAGAGATCATCAAAAACAATGAGGGAAGATTTGTTGCTTGTTTGTTTGTTTGTTTATTTATTTAGATCAATGGTGCTCAACCAGGGGCAATTTTCTTAGGGAAATATGTCTCCACACATTGCCCTGGGGGTCAAAACCACAGCTGGGGTGGGGTACTACTTGCATCTAGTGGGTTGAGGCCAGAAATACTGCTAAAATCCTACAATGTGCAACAAATAATTATCTACCTCAGATTGGCAATAGTGCTGAGGTTGAGGGAATGAAGAAACCAAGAAAGAAAAGGAGGAAGGAAATAGGTCTAACACAACACAGTGGCAAGGCTCGGATAAGGACTGAGCCTTCTGCGTCTTTATCTCATTGCACTTCCAACTCTACCTTGCCCTTAAGTTGTACTGGCTCATCCTGATGGGTGGTAGTCACTGCATGTGGAAATGCTTTGTAAACCATAACGTTGCACAAAGGTTAGGTTCTGGTCACCAGCCACATCTCCCTGCTTGGTCCCACTTTAACTGACTTCTGAGGACTGCCCCCTGCTTGTCTGGATCTATTCACTCTTTCAGCCTTCTCTTCTGTAGCTGAACTCTGATTTCTTTTTCTCCTCCATCATCCCTACCCGGGATCACAGAGAACGTTTTTTATCTTGTACTTCTGTAACTTCCTTAATGATTCTTAACACAGAGTGGGCTTTTTCACTGAAGTGATACTCTGGGCTAATATACTCAGGGATGTTCTTGTCCTTCTAGACCTACCACATGGTTCAGTTTCATTAAAACATTTGGACTTAACAAGTTGGGCCATATTGGTGATTCATTCTGGGAAAGTATTTATTTCTGAACATCCTGTTTTGGGCTCCTTTAAATGATCCTGGTGTCTGGCAAGTCCTTCCATCTCTAGGACTCCACCAGACCCTTCCCAATTTACCTGCTCTGATTTGGTACTTGATGTTTACACCTTCCATAGTTCTGGCCCCTACTGGACTTTGCATCTTGATCCCAAGTCTCATTGCAAACACTGATGGTCCTGATGGCTAATTGTGGGCTTTAGGTGGAACGCTATTCTCTTTGAGACCCATTTCTCTTGCCAAGCTCCTTACCCTTTTAACCTGCTCACCAGGATAGGGAGATTGGATGTATCTCTCATAGCAGGGTTGGGGAAGGGCCTTAATGCCTAGTTTGTGACTGGCTTTAGAGGACCTCCACCAAATATTCTGGGTCCTTTTGGTACTTTATAATAGGTGTTTCACTCATAAATTTCATTTTAAAATTTCTAACTATGATAGCCTGTAATGGATTACAAATAAGTAAGAAATCAAGCAATCAATATTCTAAATAAGTAAATACATAAGAATTCCTCCACAATTTACTGCCCATTATGTCAAACAGCAATGCCAAAGTAAATGTTGGAAGTTTCCAAAGTTCCAACAGGCTCGGCATAGTGGCTCATGCTTTAATTCTAGCACTTTGGGAGGCCAAGGCAGGCAGATTGCCTGAGCTCAGGAGTTCGAGACCAGCCTGAGCAACATGGAAAACTCCGTTTCTACTAAAAATACAAAAAAAATTAGCTGGGTGTGGTGGCGCATACCTGTAGCCCCAGCTACTCAGGAGGATGAGGCAGGAGAATTGCTTGAACCTGGGAGACAGAGGTTGCAGTGAGTGGAGATTGTGCCACTACACTCCAGCCTGGGCAACAGAGCGAGACTCTGTCTCTAAAAATAATAATAAAAAACAAGTTCCAACAAATTCGAACATCTCCAACTAGTGCTCTGTTCTCAATTAAAGATATATAGAGAATGAAAGAATCTGTGTATATCTGCGTATACTATATGTGTGTGTATATGTGTATATACTCAGTAGGACCATTGTGTGTGATAAGGGGACAGAGGGTAGAATGTATGCATTACACATTTCATTTCTTTCCTTTCTATTTTCCTTTCTCCCCCATTTCTCCCAGTTGAAGATATTTAAATACAATGATAGCACTGGATAGAGTATTCTGGCTTAGAGAAATCCAACTGGCTTAGAGAAAGTTGAGGTTTTCAGCCTTCCATACTATACTTGATATAATCGTGCAAACCACAGAATTGATTTTTTTTTTTTTTTTTTTGAGTAGCAACAACCACTGCTACAAGATCACAGACAAACTGCAAAGTACACAGTTTATTTGGCTGGTCCTTCCACCTCTCTGGATTTCTATCCTCTTTGTGTTTTTCTGTCTGTCCAATAGCATAGAAAGAAACAAGTTTTGAGTGCCACTGGTGGCCTAACTCTGGTACAATGCTACCATACCCATCAGAAAAGCTCTGACTTGTCCTTGGCTGCAAAGACCTGAGGTCTTCTCTTTCTAAGGCTCCTAGAAAGTGTCTTCTTGCAGCATCTTGGCCAATTCTCACTGGAGTTCTATTTGGAACAAGTACTAAAATGCAAGCCAGAGTCAACAGAAGAGTATCTTTATATTGAAGCAATATTCAAGCTTTGATGCCAGCTAAATTCACTATCTTTCATATTCTTGTCATCATGAGATACTATCAAAAAATTCAAGACCCACTGGTCATTCACTTTTCCACTTCAGTCTTCTTATTATGAATTCTGTATTTTTTTATTCCCAATTTGCCCTACCTCTGCTTTCATCCAAATACCACCCAGAACCTAAATTTAAAAGTAAACAAACTCCTGTAGAGCTGCAATTCCTCCACAGCCCAATTCCTCTCTCCCTGGCTTTGAGTGGATCCTGGCAATCCCTCAAGAACACTGCAGGCCTAGTGTGGGTGTTAAGAGCTCAGGCTCTGAGTTCAGATCTTCTGTGTTTATATCCCAGCTCTGTCACTCACTAAGTATGTAACTAAGTAAGTCTGGGCAAGTTACCAAAAATTTTTTAGCCTCAGTTTCTACATCTGAAAATGAGAGAAACAACTCCCTTGTGATTATTATGAAGATTAAATGAGTATACATAAGAAGCACGACAATGCCTAACACATTGGGAAACTTCAATAGACAATAGTATTTAGTCGGTCCTGCAAAGACTGCATTCCCTGCACTTCAGTATTTGTTCGGTTAGAGGTTTTCAACATCCTCTCAATGAAGCATTTCCTTCTCTAAGCCACTACTCCTTCACTCCCACATAAAAACCACCTCTTGCTGTGAGACTCACCCTTGCAAGATTTTCATTCTTTACCCTCCTCAGCCATGCCATAGCCTCACATTCATCCAGAACTTCTGCATTGTCTCAACAGTAAGTTCAATTTCAAGCACTACCATTGGACTATATGGCACCCACGATGGGATGACTTGTTCATCCTCCTGCAAAACCACCCCTGTGTATGGGTTTATTTCCTCAGCATCAACACCTCAGCTTCCTCAGCTCCTGAACAGTACTGGAGGTAACGAAACACCCTTGCTGCTACCCATTTGCCATGAATCCATATTAAATGCTACATCTTGCAACTGAGGAGACAAGTCTCAGTCAAGTTGCCTCAGACTTTTGCTCAAGGGCACACAGCTAATGAATAATTAAAACCAGAACTCCTGACTTCAAGTCCAGATATTTTGTGCCACACCAGAGCTGCTTTGCAAGGTTTTCTGGTTTATGCCCATTTGTTTGGCATTTTGAGAACCAGAAGAAGCATTTAATGTTATGTGTAAACTTGGAGATGCTATTCTTCCTCTCTCCTGTAGAGATTATTTACATAAGTATTTGTCTTTCATTGTCAGATATGTACTTTTTCCCATACAAATTTTGTAACTCTCCTCTTCTAGCCTATGAGGATATATCTATGGTCCCATTTATCTGGGCAAAGGGGTTCATTTTACCTTGGCAGCAGGAAAGGGGAAAAGAAAACTCTCCTATTTCCTGAGCCAGCAGGCTTCCCACCCTTTGAGGTTTAATGGCAAGCCAATGGTCTGTCATCCAAGGCATCCATTAGCTGAGGGAAACATGGGGACAGGGAATGAAAGATCCACTAGGAATGAGCTTGGGGCTAGCAGTGTGTTGTGGGTTGGTAGGTATTTATTTATTTTCTCTTTGAAGGAAGGGGAATGGTGATAGCACATAGATTGTCCTAGTCTCACTGGACAGGAAATATCTTCCAAGAAAGAGTTGATGATGTCTCCTCAGGCACAGGAAGCGGAGAGATGGTTTGGTTCTTAGAACAGGGTGGTTCCCTTATGAATAAACATTCATTGAAGATGACCTCATGGGTGAGTATATTTCATGCATTGCCTTTTATTTTTCCTTAACCTCACATGTGGAGAACAGGCTAGAGGGCAGAAGTATTTATTTTGAGAAAACATGAACCTCTGGAAGTGAGGTAATTAAGAGGAATACCTTCCTACCCCATGAAATGAATAGATTTAATTATAATTAATTACTTATTGAAGTTCTACTATGTACATGTACTGCGAAATACTGATATTAAACAAAAAACCCATAAAACCAACTTTTACTCTTAAGGAGTTTACTCTCTAGTTTTGGTCAGAGGGAAACTAAGCAGCAAACAATAGTAGTTTTCATTTAACTTTTCAGTGGGGTCAGGGGATGCCCACGTGTGATAAAATTTAAATCACCCTCCTATGGACCATTTAAGTTTTATGAATTTTCACTTCTCAGATGAGAGTCCTTCAAGGGCAGATATATTTATTCTCCTTTATGAAAGATGAACAACACTGTTCTAGGTGACTCCTGAAGTACACATCAGACTCTTTCTCAAAACTCCTGTTGTGAGAAAGGAAAATATAGATGAATTGATAAAAAATTATAATAGTAAGCACTTTTTATAATTATTTTTATGTATTATGTAAAAAATTGGGACACATAGAAGAATCAGATAAATACTTGGGACAATTGAGAAAGTTTCCATTTGAAGTTTGTATATTTAGATTAACAGAGGCAAATGGTAGAGAGGCAGACTTATTCAGTATTCAGAAGAAGGTTTTAGTGCATCCAAAATTGGAGTTGACTACCACTGGACACAATGAATGGCTCAACACTGAAAGTATTCAAGGAGGAGCTGGAAAAATGCCTTCAGGGATGATGGCAATGAAGGTCTCTTTTTGGATAAGAGTGTTGTTGTTGTTGTTGTTTTGTCTTGTAAGCTCCTTTCTACATGTTACAATCTTTCTCTGATTGCAGTTAAGGGTCCCAAAGAGCAGTTCTTACTTGAATTCCCAGAAGATGATGTCCACCCCTTCTCTCCTGTCCAGTCACAGCTCTGAAAGCCTTTGAGAGGTTTCCATACAGGAGCAGATGCAGACTGGAAAGGAAAGAAATATTATTTTGCAGCAACTGGTGCTCCATCAAAACAGAGGCCTTGTGAAATGACGGCAGACATCAGTAATCGCCATAGCGCTGGCCTTATTTATAGGTTTGGGAGAAAGATAAATACTGTACATGCACATTCTAATTAAGGCCAGCACTTCCCAGCATGCACAGCTCTGCATCTCATTCTCCCTGCCACTGCTGCCTGGGTCTCATATTTTCCGTGCTGTTCTTGTTATTAGTAATGCTGTACTGCCTAAAATGGATGGAGTCCCAAGTTGCCTGCAGGGCACAGGGATTTAATCCACTGGAGCCTGGACTCGGAAACACCACAGCTCATTTGCCCTCATCTTTCAGTGACTGACTAGGGCACTTAGACCATGGATAGTGATGTGGCTCTTAGGATGACCTGTGAAGGGACCCCAGGTCCACTCCATACAGCACTCGATAGGAATGCTCCCTCCTCAATGCAATTCATGCCAACTGAGCATCTGTTGCATGTGAAGGAGAGATAATCTGTTTCCATCAGATTTATTTCTAAGATAGATTTTTGAATGGCATAAAGCTAATGCTCTTTTTGCATTCTCCCTTGCCTATTATATAATGAAAAAAAAATACAGTATGTGCCATGCACATATGACTAATGGCCCTTACAGAAAGCCCATCCTAGCTTTGATTTTTGGGAGATGAGGACATCATAATCTAATATAGCTAATCATGTCAAAGGCACAATCAATAAGAATACACTGATCTCATGGTATAATTAAGTCTGCATAAGTTCATTTCTAAGCCAAATCAATCAAGAGTGGTCAATCTAACCAGGAATTCACAAGTATCATTAATGAAAAAAAATCAAGATTTATTTTTCAAAATATTAGCATCTTGCTATTTAAAAATTTCTACCTCTTCTTAGTTCCTTAGAATGTCCTTATATAAATACACTGAAATAAAACTTGGAGTCTTTTCTTGAAAAGAATATGACCTTTCATCACTGCAAAAATAACTTAGTAAAAGTATTTCCTTCAGTTTCTTCCCAGAAACACCATCATTTCATTCTGGAGAGATCTTCAGATCATCTTCAGAACATGTATACACAGTGGGCAAGGACTGGGTAAAGTTCTGGGTTTTAGTTGTAGATTCCTTTTAATCAAGATCATGAGTCAAAGAAAGAAAATAGATAGGAAAACTCCAGGCTAACCTAGGGATGGAGTAGTATTTTCTCTTCTGTTTCCTCCTCAGGAGTTTTGACTTAAATCCCAGTGAAAAGCTGTTGGAATTATTAGCTGATTTTTATTCTAAAATTTTTGTTACTATGCCAACCTGGACCAGGTGTCTGTGTGTATTTATGCATGTATGTATGTATGCATGTATGAATATATGCATGTGTTGGTTTATGCATGTGCATGTAGGCTGCCTATCCATGTGACTAAGAGACTTAGTGGCCGGGTGCAGTGGCTCACGCCTGTAATTCCTGCACTTTGGGAGCCCGAGGCGGGTGGATCATGAGGTCAGGAGATCGAGACCATCCTGGCTAACACAGTGAAACCCCATCTCTACTAAAAAATACAAAAAATTAGCTGGGTGTGGTGGCGGGAGCCTGTAGTCCCAGCTACTTGGGAGGCTGAGGCAGGAGAATGGCATGAACCCGGGAGGCGGAGCTTGCAGTGAGCCGAGATCGCGCCACTGCACTCCAGCCTGGGTGACAGAGCGAGACTCCGTCTCAAAAAAAAAAAAAAAAAAAAAGATAGTAATTGAGGAGCATGTTTGTTCTCAATGTACACAGCTAATCCAACAGTGTAAATCCCAGCCTAACAGAGTGTGTGAGAATTTGTAGTGCATATTTTTCACCCTCCAAGACTCATTTGGATAATTGCAAAAGCTTAGCACCACATCTTGGGAGGCAGCAGCATGGAGTCGGGTGGAGGGGCGAAATTAACATGCACCCAGTAACTACTGTATAACTGACGAAGACCTAGATACCTCACATATTTGGTGTAATTTATTTTTACAATGTGGATAATGATACCTGTCTTCCAGCATAGCAATTTTTTATTTATATTTTATAGACAAAAAGGTCAAGAAATTAAATAATTTTTCCAATATTTCATGACTAATATGTAGTAATTGGGGGGGTCCATTTAAGCCTCTGGAAAGCAGATATGGGAGTGTAAGTTTATCATAGAGGATTCATGGATAGCTTCGTAAGGTCAGAGGTGCAAGGGGCCACGGCCAGTTTTTAGCACAGGGTCTCATATGCATAGTAGGCAGTCAAAAAATACTGTTAAATGAATGACGTGGGAATCTAGGGCAATCAGTTGTGACAGAATAATAGAACAGTGTAAGCCCAAGGCTTAATCTAGAAGGAGTGCTTAGAAGTTCAACCCATCTGTGTCACACTGGTCAAATAACGATAATCTGATTCTGCAGACCCAGTCAGAAGGCACAGGAAATCAGTCAAGCAGAGGAGTAAGAAAATAACTGGGCTCTGAATATTTAGGATTCAGTTTAGAGTCAAGTGATATTTGTTGAGTAGCTGCTTTGTGCTACATTCTTACTTTTCTAGGTACTTTTCACTTTATCTTATTTCACCTTTGCAATAGTCATTTTTCCCAGCTGAGGAGGGTGAGTTTCCTTAACTTTCCCAAGGCCACATGCAAATCTGTGGTGAAGTCAGTGTTTGTATCCAGGTCCCTTGACTCACTCCAGTGCTCTTAACATAATGAGCACAGTCCATATTCAGCAGGCTTCTTACTTGACCTGTCAAAAACCTCCAGCATCACTTGACTTCCAGCACCCTCCTGTCATTCTGAGGACAGCATCCCCTCTTCTTGTTTTCTTTTCAAATTGTTGGCACCTCTTTCTCAGTTACTTCTCTCAGTTTCTTCTTATCTACTGACTTCTGAGCATTGGAGTGTTCCTAGTTCAGTCTTTATACTTCTTCTCTTTTCTGTCTACACACATTTCCTTGGTTTAATTATCTAGTCTAATGGCTGTCAATGCCATCATCATGACCCCAAATGTAGATCTCCAGCCCAGAAAACTCTCCTTAGCTCTCCACAGCTCTACTTCACTGTCCAAAAAGCTTCCCAAACTCCACCTCTTCAATCCTGTACTCCTGATATTCCCCAGAACTTGGCTGCACTTGCTGTATTCTCCATCTTAGTTTATAGCAATTCCAACCTTCCAATTGCTCATGTCCAGAACCACAGATTCATCTTCAATGCTCTCTCTCTCACAGTCTACTTCCAATCTGCTGGCAAATCCTGTTGGCTAGCTCTTCAGAAACATCTGGAATCTGACCACATCTTACCCCTCCAGTTGCTGTCCTTTTGGCCCAGTTCACTGTCAGCCCTTACCTGGATTATTGCAAGAGTCTTTCTTGATGTGAATTTGCTCACCTTCAGCCTACTGTGCATATAGTAGCCACAGTAACCCTGTAAAAGTTGAGTCAAATCATGTCATTCTTCAGCTTACAATCATTTCATTCAGAGTAGAAGGCAACATCCTTCTAATCATATACAAGGTTTTACAGATCTGACCTCATTAAGCACAAGCTTCCACCTCAAGGCCTTGGCCCTTGCTATTCCCTCTGCACAAAACACACTTCCCCAGACATCTGCAGTGCTTGATCCTTCACCTCTTTGAGGTCCTTTCTAGCTACACCATCTAAATTGCCCACCATCCCCACACATACAACTAACCTTTTTCTCTATTTTCTTCTACAGCATTTATCACTGTCCAGCATAGTCTATATTTAACTTAGCTGTCTTTTTAATTGTCTCCTGTCTTTCTGCTAGAATGTGAGCACCAAGAAGGCAGGGATTTTTGCTATGTTGCTCGTTATTGCATCCCCAGCAAAGAGAATGGCACATAAAAGAAATGCCTGGCACATAGAGAAACCAAAAAATATGTTTAAATAATGAATGAATGAATGTAAAGGACTGAGCCATAAGAATTCAGCACAAATCAAAAGGGCCACAGAGCTCAATATAGCCCCTGATATATAGGCAACCTAAGCAGGTTCAGTGAGGTTCTGTGGAGTGTGTGCACTTGTTCACAGCCCAGCATGTTCATTCATCAGAGAATTCCCCCCAGTATCCCAATGTGGTGTTCCTACACCCCAGGAGAAATTGCATTAACTCTCAGAAACTTGATAGATCATGAACCATGAAAGTACTTGTAATCAGCTGTGTAAATACAGAACATAAGTCCTGATTGCATTAGCTTTGTGATGGCACACAATTGCAAAATAAAAATCGAAAATGAAAAGGAAAAGAATAATTTGACTGTCTTTTCGTAGAAGCATCCCTTACTGCCCTGTTATTGTATCTCACCTATGCCACACAATCCTTCCTCATTAAGTCACTCCCCAGTTTTGGAAGACATAGCCTACCAAAAAGAACATGGACCCTATAATCAGAGAGACTTGGCTTTACATTGTGGTCACACTATTTGCTAGCCACAAAATCTTGGTCGATTTATTTGACCCTTCTTCTCTACAATGCTTATCTGTAATATAGGCAGAATAAAACATACTTAATAATATGTAGTATGTGCCTCACAGTATGAAGCAGTACCCTACTTCATAGAGTAATTATGAAGATCAAATTATAGATGTATATTTTTTATAATTATATGTACATAATTGGCATTTAATGCATGCTCCTTAAAAGATTTTAAATTGTGAAATAAGAGCAGATATAGACAGAAAAGCAGAGATGTGTAGCTTAGTGTTTCATCAGAAATTAAGGGATACAGCTTCTGGACTAGTCACTTCCCATATGTCTTTAACTAACTGGGGTCTATGTTTTGAAAAGACACAGGTGCATCAATAGGCGCTGTTGTAGAGCATGCTGATAGGCCTAATGCCTCCTCCTAAAGTATATATTGCAGATACTTGTTCATTGTCATCCAGGTTCTGTTTTGCATTTGAAGTCGGACTAGAATTCAGACAATATCTATGGTAGCTAAAATAAACTGGAATCAAGAACTCCACCATGACCTGGGCAGGTATGTTCACCTTGACAAGTGGTTCTGACACATATCCTAGTGTGATAATCATAGTCTGTTTGTACAATCAGTCCTTGAAACTCTGAACACAGAAGTCCTTTAAAGAGGAAATCTATAGGAAGTGTCTTTTCTCAGCTTTTATTTCTGAATTCAGCAGTATTACCTCCTCTGGGATCTATGTGGTTTTAGAGCATTTCAGTGGGGACGAAGTTAGGTGTGGCCAACACAATCTTAAGAAATTTTACTAAAGTCATGATATGCATAGGTACCATGGATGTAAGCAATGTGATATTGAAGCCTAATGCAAAGGAATAAAATTGGAAACTTGTTTATATAAATACTGACTTTTTAATATTATATTCTATTTTAAATTTTTTCTAAATTAATCCTTCCCAGCAACACAACAGCCATCTCTTAGCAAGCAGTGGGTAGAAATCATGTTCTTATTCACATACATTATCTGCTCTATAGTCTCCCCAGTTAAGACCCTTTACTTTGTTATAACAAGGAAAACAACAAAAAAGTGGTAAAGGTTTATGAAGGAAGAAGAAACAATGACCCTCTAGGAAGATAACATAGTATAATTTAAATAGGCTTGTACTCTGGCAGGTGTTTGGTGTTTGGGTTCTCATCTAGCTTTCTGACAAGCCAGTGACTGCCAAACTTGGCTGCACATTGGAATCACCTGAGAAGCTTCAACAACTACTGACACTTGAGAGATGATGATGTGATTGGCCTGGGGTATATTCTGAACTTTGGAAGATTTAAAAGATCACCAGGTGATTTTAATGTGCAGATAAGTTTGGGAATCATTTTCACAGTCCGTGATATGAAACAGCTATTTATCAATTGAGAATCCATCTGAATCAAAGCATTTCTAATTTCATGAAGCCAGAGATATTGCTTAGGACATAGGTATCATCTCCAATGTCTGATGCCAATAAATAAGGCCAAAATAGCTAATTTTGAAAGGCAAAGGATTATATTTACCTAGCAGCACTCCAATAACCAAAGCATTTAAGTTAAAAAAGGAAATACAGGTTATCTATGGGCAGCAACTTTATCATTACAAGGGTGCTATCTGAAGGGAAATAAAAGAAAATAGAAAGCAGGGAGATTAGTTCACTCTCAGACTGCTATAAAGAACTACCTGAGACTGGGTAATTTATGAAGAAAACAGGTTTAATTCGCTCACAGTTCCACAGGCTGTTCAGAAGCGTGGCTGGGAGGCCTCAGGAAACTTACAATTATAGCAGAAGGTGAAGGGGAAGCAAACACGTCTTACCATGGTGAAGCAGGAGAGAGGGTACAAGGGGGGAAGTGCCACACTTCTAAACCATCAGATCTCATAAGAACTCACTCACTCTCATGAGAACATCATGGGGGAAATCTGCCCCCATGTTCCAGTTACCTCCCATCAGGTCCCACCCCTAACATGTGGGGATTACAATTCGACATGAGATTTGGATGGGGACACAGAGCCAAACCACAGTAGTAGGCTTTAGTCGATGGAAGAGCTGTGTTCCCTAAGCTGAGTATCCATATAACCTATGTTTGAATACATCCTTTTTAAAGCTCATCCTAAAAATCAGAAATGGAAAAATTAGAAAAATCTAGACATGGATAAGAGGAAATTAATAATTCTATGTCTGAATTATCTTTAATTTGGGATATTCTCACTGGAAACTTGAATTTCAAACCATTCACTATCCTCTGAACTTTCGCAGAGAGATGACCACTTTGCACAGCCCTGGGATGTAGAACAGGACACTTTTCCTTGTTTTTTTGCTTAAAGGAAGATGAGTTCAGACAGCCAATAGGAATGGAGCAGAGTAGCCTAATCAGAATTAAGTTGGATCCTTACAGGAGGGTTTGAGAGTCTGGGCACTCATTGCTTTCTTTCTGAGCCCGTAGTCAAGATGGAAAGTTGTGCAGAACAGTGCTGTCCAATAGAAAGATAATGCAAGCCACATATATACTTTAAAGTTTTCTGGTAGCCACATTAAGAAAGAAAGCAGTGAAATTAATGCTAATATATGTTATTTTACTCAATATTTATTATAATTTCAATATGTAATCAATATAAAAAAGTATTTTTGAGCTACTTTACGTTCTTGTTTTTCTAGTAGGTCTTTGAAATCTGTCATAGTCTATTCACTTATAGCACATCTCCATTTGGATTAGCCAACATGGATTAGTCCAAACGGATTAGCCATATTCAAGGGTTCAACAGTCACATGTGGCTGCTGGCCACTGCTTTGGCTAGCACATGTGCAGAGGAAAGATAACTGGCCCTGAGCACAAAAGACCTGAGTTCTAATCTGCCTTTAAATGGTGGATTGTCTTAGAGGGCCTCTAGAGTCATTTTTAGCCCTTATGTTCTCTGGTTCAATGGCAAGTCAAGGATGCAGGTGCATTGAAAAATTTGGTAAGAATGACCAAGTCTCCACAGCTGGACATTCCCTAAGACAAGGCCTGTTATTTCTATATAAGCTTAGGGAGATTTAAAAAGCATCTTCATCTCTCACCGAAACAGCAGGTTCTGAGCAGAGGGTAAGTTCTTTGTCCCATAAAGCAAAAGGATTCTCTCGGATGTGATTCTGGGGAAAAACCTCACTACAGATTGCCTAACCGGGAATTAAACTCTGCTATTGACCTGAGTGGTCAGGCAATGAGCAGTGTGCTGTAAATCAAACCCTTGACCCACAAACAGAAAGCAAAGCCCTTTTGATTAGTTTTGAGCAGCTATATTAAAAAGACCACTGCACACTTCCATGGTCTCTTTCATCCCAAGACTGGTAGAGTTGTGAAGAGCCATTCCCCACCCCCATTGCCGCTGGCTTTCAGAGCAATAATATGCCCATGCACAGGATAGCTCTGTCTTCCCTCCTAGCCTGGGGTGGCCCTGGAGCTATTAAAAGGCTTTATTCATTGCCCCACTTTCAGATAAATTAGTTCAAATGGTTGTCTATTTACACCTCAGTCACGAAATTTCTGTTTTTGCTGGCGTGATACGGAAATGGCAATGGTGAACTAAAAATCGAACTAAAATGAGAGAACTTGATGCACATCCCATCTGTTCTGCTGAAGCTCTGGGTGACCTCAGTCTTCCCATGTCTAGACTTCAGTTCTTCCCCATGTGAAACAAAGAAAGCTTTTTCCACTTTGACAGTGAGGATAATGTTTGTAGAATCCTGGAGCATTTCACCAGAAGGTTAAAATAAATGCAAGATACAAAAATGAATCATTTCCTCAGACCCCAGAGGAGGAGCAGGATGGTAAATAACTGTCAAATCTTGGTAAGCAGTTCAGACAGAAGAGGAGTAGGGACACCAAGATGGGAAGGTCAAGGACAGAAAGGGGAGGGCTGCAAGGGAGAAGGAAGGTGAAGAGGGCTGGAGAATGCTTCCTGCTGGGTCACCAATTGCTAAGGATGGCAAAGTTTGGAAACCTTGCCTTTATTCCAGGAGGACTTGACGAGCAAAACTGATTAGCTGTAGAATATCATTTAAATCTTTCCTTAATCCAAGTCTTTAATCATTATCTCCCAAAACACCAAACGGCTCCAGACACACACACCAGCTTCACTGAGAGACTTGTCAAGACCAGAACAGTAATTCACAAATTCACTAAAATTCCCTGCTCCACCGAGCAGTATGACAGCTCCAGCGACCGCGGTAACATTTCTATTCAAACTGGCTTTGGAGCTGAAGCTATAAATATCCTTGCAATATTTCCTGCTTCAGAACATAAAGACAGCTTTACAGCACTGATAAAATAGAAATTACTTTCTCTCTGAGGTCTTGCTGGAATTTTAATGTCTGTTTTGCAATAAAGCAGCTCCTACACAATTTGATTTGAGGGAAAGAAAACAAACGGTCTAATTTAGTTACGATAATGACTCTTCTTGTATTGTTTGCCCTACTTGCTTCTCTGGCTGCTGGGCTGTTAAAGTTTGTAGCAGCCAGCAGAGGGGATGATGTTTATGAGAAAATTAAAATTGTTTCTTTATTATTTAAAGATACATTGTCCCCATCCCTTCTCAACTCAGAGCAACTTAAGAAATTTTTTAAGGAGAATTAGAAGAAGATAGTTTACGGCCTTTAATAGTGCTTTGCGAAAATTGCTTGTTAGAACTGTAAAGCTGTTGACCAAAGATGACATGAATGTAAAAGGCTTTTGGAGCATAAAAGATCATAGCAGCTTTAATTATTCCATACATGTTACCCAAGTTCTAGTTAGTGCCTTCAAAGCTGAACAAAGCATCCTTTTTTTTTTCAATCCATGCATGCTCATCTCCTTTGTAGATTATATGATGTGGAAAGAAAAAAAGAGAAATATGTCTTTGCACATGGACTGTGTGCTGAGGGCATAGGAAAATGGAGTTGAGAATGGAAGCTAAGGATGAAACAAGCTGTCTAAAGACAGCAATTAAATTGTTTAAGGTAAGTAGGGTTTGCTCAGGTGCTCAGTAATGTTTCTATAAACTAACAATGAAAAAGAAATTAAGAAAGCAATTCCATTTACAATAGCTGCAATAAAATAAGACTTAGGAATAGATTTAACCAAAGAGGTGAAATATCTGTACATTGAAAACTATAAAACATTGATGAAAGAACTGGAAGAAGACACAAGTAAAGGAAAAAATATCCATGTTCATGGATTGGAAGAATTCATATTTTTAAAATGGCTATACTACCTGAAGGGATCTGTGGGTTCAGTGCAATTCCTATAAAAATTCCAAAGACACTGTCACAGAAACAGAAAAAAAAAAAAATCCTAAGATTTGTATGAACCCACAAAAGACCCTGAATAGCCAAAGGAATTTTGAACAAAAAGAGCAAAACTGGAGACATCACACTACCTGATTAAAAATATACTACAAAGCTATAGTAATCAAAGTAGCATGGTATTGACATAGAAACAGACACACAGACCAATGGAAAAGAATAGAGAGCCTAGAAATAAATCCATGCATTTATGGTCAATAGAGTTATAGCAGAGATGCCAAGAACACACAATTAAATTAAAATGGGCAAAAACCAGAATAGACATTTTTCAAAAGAAGACATACAAATGGCCAACAGGTATATTAAAAGATTATCAATGTCACTAATCATCAGGGAAATGCAAATCAAAACCACAATGGTATATCACCTCACACCTGATAGAATGACTGTTATCAAAAAGAGGAAAGATAACAAGTGTTGGTAAGGATGAGGAGGAAAGGGATCCTTTGCACACTATTGGTGGGAATGTAAATGAGTGACAGTTAATATGGAAAACAGAATGGAGGTTTCCCCAAAAAATTAAAAATAGAATTACCATATGATCCAGCGATCCCACTACTTGGTACATATCCAAAGGAAATGAAATTAATATGTTAAAAAGATATCTGCACACCCATGTTCATTGTAGCACTATTCACAATAGCCAAGATATGGAATTAAGCTGTGTCCATTGGAATGAATACAGAAAATGTGGTATATATACACAATGAAATAGTATTCACCCTTAAAAAAGAAGGAAATTCTGTCATAACTGACAATATGATGAATTTGGAGGACACTATATTATGTGAAGTAAGCCAGGCACAGAAAGATAAATACTATGTGATCACTTTTATATGTGGACTCCTAAAAAGTCAAACTCATAGAAGTAGAGAGTAGAACGGTGGTTACCAGAGGCTGGGGGTAGAGGCGATTAGGCAGATATTAGCCAAAGGATACAAAACTTCAATTAAGAGAAATAAGTTCAAGAGATCTGTTGTACATTAGGTGACTATAGTTAATAACAAAATATTGGATACTTGAAAATAGCCAAGAGAGTAGATCTCAAGCGTTCTCAACACAAAAAGTGATGCATGTGAGGTAATGCTCACATGCAAATTTATATGTTAATTAGCTTGATTTAGCTAGTCCACCATGTATATATATATGTCAGAATATGCTATATACCATAAATATTTAAAATTTTTATTTGTCATTTAAAAAATAACAAGTGATTCTGATGCATTTGCCAAGGGAATATTTTAAAAGTAGACAGTATAGGTTAGCAGTTCTCAAAGTGTGGTCTAAGGAACTCTTGAGTCTCTGAGACACTTTTAGAGGGTTTATGAGGTCAAAATTGTTTTTTAAGGCTTTTTTAAAGAGCCATTTTCGGTTCACAGCAAGATTGTGAGGAAGTGACTGAGATATTACATATAAACCCTGCCCCCACACATGCATAATCTCCATTGTTATTAATATTCCCAACTAGAATGGTTCATTAGTTACAACCGATGAACCTTCATTGACACACCACCCAGAGTCCACAGTTTACATGAGGGTTCACTCTTGGTGTTGTACATTCTGTGGGTTTAGACAAATATATAATGACATGTATCTGCCATTATAGTAGTATACGGAATGCTTTCACTGCTCTAATCATTCTCTGTGCTCCACCTGTTCATCTCTGCCTTCTCACTACCTTCTGGCAACCCCTAAACTTTTTACTGTCTTCATAGTTTTGCCTTTTCCAGGGTGTTGTGTAGTTGGAATTGTACAATATGTAGCTTTTTCAGATTGGCTTATTATACTTAGTGACATGCGTTTAAATTTCCTCAATGTCTTTTGTTTTCTGGATAGGTCATATCCTTTTAGCTTTGAATAATAACCATTGTCCAGATGTACTATAATTTATTTATCCATTTACCTGATTAAGAACATCTTGGTTGCTTCCAAGTTTTGACAATCATGAATAAAGCTGCTATAAACATCTGCATGTAGATTTTCATATGGACATAAATTTTCAACTCCTTTGGGTAAATACCAAGAAGTGTGATTGCTGGATTATATGACAGAGTATGTTTAGTTTTGTGAAAAACTGCCAGACTGTCTTTCAAAGTGGCAGTACTATTTTGCATTCCTACCAGCAGCGAATGAGAGCTCCTGTTGCTCTACGTCCTCACCAGCATTTGATGTTGTCAGCATTCTAGATTTTGGCCATTCTGGAAGATGTGTAGTGTTATCTCACTGCCATTTTAATTTTCATTTCCCTAATGATATATAATGCAAAGTATTGTATCATATATGCTTATTTGCCAGCTGTATGTCTTCTTTGGTGAGGTACTTGTTAAGGTCTTTGGCCTTGTTTTTTTTTTTTTTTTTTTTTTTTTTTTTTTTTTGAAGGAGTCTCGCTCTGTCTCCCAGGCTGGAGTGCAGTGGCACAATCTCCGCTCACTGCAACCTCTGCCTCCCAGGTTCAAGCGATTCTCCTACCTCAGCCTCCAGCATAGCTGGGATTACAGGCGCCCGCCATCACACCCAGAAAATCTTTTGTATTTTAGTGGAGATGGGGTTTCGCCATGTTGGCCAGGCTGGTGTCAGACTCCTAACCTCAGGTGATCTGCCCACCTCAGCCTCCCAAAGTGCTGGGATTACAGGTGTGAGCCACAGCGCCTGACCTGGCCTAGTTTTTAACTGAGTTTTTCATTTTCTTATTTTTGGATTTTAATAGGTCTTTGTATATTTTGAATAACAGTCTTTTATCAGCTCTGTGTTTTGCAAATATTTTTGCCCAGTCTGTGGTGTATCCTTTTTATTCTCTTGACAGTCTTTCACAGAGCAGAATTTTTAAGATTTTAGTCAGCTTATTAATTCTCATTTTCATGGATCATGCCTTGTTGTTATACCTAAAAAGGCCATCTAGATTTTTTTTCTATGTCACCTTCTTGGAGTTTTATAGTTTTGCATTCTACACTTAAATCTGTTATGTGTATTGAGACAATTTTTGTGAAGGGTGTAAGGTTTGTGTCTGGATTCATTTTTTTACATGTGGTTGTTCAGTTGTTCCAGTACAATTTGTTGAAATGATTATCTTTCCCCATTTTATTGTCAAAACTATTTTCATAATGATAAAAAGCATTATATTTCACTGTCTTGATGTTTGCAATGATGTTACAGAGAAATTGTGGGTCAACTGTTGGTGCCTTACATCAAGGCAATGCCTCCAAGCTGCACTGGCAGTCATTGCATTCTTTCTCACTTCCCACTCACAGAAGATGGGAAGAAAGAAGGGAGGGAGAAAGGTATAAAAGAAGAAGAAAAGGAAGGAGTGAAAGAAGGATGGAGGAAACGTAGAAAGTGGAAACCTGTTTAATATTAAAATGTTCTTGATGAAGAAGCAAAATTTCTAATTTTACTAAATCTTGAGCCTAGAATTAATATATTTTTAATAGTTTGACAACATGGAAAGTACGTATGAAACACATAAATGCATAGCAAAGTATGATGACTGTCTCAGGCCAAGCAATTGTGCAATTGTATAAATTGGGAGCTGAGTTACTTGCTCTTTTCATGTGCCATTATTTATACTAGAATGAGCTACTGACCAACAAGCAATGATTATTGAGACTTGGATATTTGGCAGACATTTCTTTAAGAATGAAGTAAGCCTGTTACTTCAAAGAAAACAACTAACAGTATTTCTCCCCCACCAATGCTAATATTTGTGCTTTCTCTTTTTTTTTGGGCGGTGGGGGGACAGATTTTCGCTCTTGTCGCCCAGGCTGGAGTGCAATGGCATGATCTTGGCTCACCGCAACCTCTGCCTCCCGGGTACAAGAGATTTTCCTGCCTCAGCCTCCTGAGTAGCTGGGACTACAGGCGCCCACCACCACACCAGCTAATTTTTGTACTTTTAGTAGAGAAGGGGTTTCTCCATGTTGGCCAGGCTGGTCTCAAACTCCTGACCTCAGGTGATCCACCCACCTCGGCCTTCCAAAGTGCTGGGATTACAGGTGTGAGCCACCACGCCTGGTCAATATTTATGCTTTCAAGCAAAATTTAGAATTCTGGAAAACTGTATCTGGTGCCATAAACTTGACAGTTTCCCAATAGTTAATGACATTTTTTGGATGAGATTGGTAATGACATTAATAAATGAGATGTTTTCAATATTGGACAATGAAATATGTCAACATTTGGAAGATCTAAACAATTCAAGGAACCAATATTTTCCGTATCACCAATACATGGTGCTACAAATCATATGTGAGTCATGTGAGTAAAAGATCCATTTGATGTACAAAATAGACCAAAGGATTTTGATGTAGCAAAGCGTAAAAAATTAATACAGTTTCAGATTCCACATTGCAATAAATCTTCAAGAAATTATTTGTTCAGTTTTGGCCTGGCACAGTGGCTAATGTCTGTAATCCCCACATTTTGGGAGGCTGAGGCAAGAGGATTGCTTGAAATCAGGAGTTTGAAATCAGCCTGGTCAATATAGCGAGGCCTTGTCTCTACAAAAGAAAAATTTAAAAATTAGCCGGGCATGGTGGCATGCATCTGTAGTCCCAGCTACTGGGGAGGCTGAGGTAGGAGGATCACTTGAGCCCAGGAGATTGAGGCTACAGTGAGCCCTGATCATGCCACTGTACCTGGGTGACAGAGCAAGACCCTATCTCAAAACAAAACAAAACAAAACAAAAAACACAAATAAACAAACACAAAAAACACAAACTATTTGTTCAGTTTTGGTGTAATGTCAAAGATGAATATACACAATTATATAAAATAGCTATTAAAATATTCCCTTTTCCAACTACATATCTGGATAAGCCTGGGTTTTCTTATATACTTCAACCAGAACAATGTATCACAATAGATTGATTGCAGAAGAATATTTGATAACATAGCTGTTTTTTATTAAGCCATAAGTAAAAAAGATTTGCCAAAAACAACGTAACTTTTCTCACTCATTTTTTTGTTTGGAGCTAACAAAGGGGCCTTGAGACTAAGAGGTTTGAGAACTACAGCTGTAGGTAGTTCAGAAGACTTTCAAAGTGTCCCTCAAATTTTACTGACTATGGTGACAGATTATTTCATGTTTTCTACTAATTTTCTCAGGACTAGCTCTGTCCAATTATTTAGTCCTTTATTTATATTCCTTCACCAAAGCTTAAGCCGTGGAGCAAACAAATACTATTAGACAGAGGACTCTTAACTGTGGAGGCTTCTGAATTCTGGGACCTGCCCATCTCTTCTTTTCCTTCTCTTGTCACCAGGCTCCATCGTGTTTTCTTGTATAAATTTATCCAGTGTTCTGGATGCATTTGCAAATCCCATACAAGTCCACTAGTGCTCTTTCTATTAATGTGTCCACAGAGACATGGCCCTAAGAGGGAAATTTTAGCCAAATATGGAGGAACAGCCCCACTTGGAAACTTTTCTTCTAGAAGAAATAAAACACAACCCAGAGACCTCAATATAGGCAAGAAATGCTTCTTTGAATTAAAAACAAATTATTTCACTGATCATTTCGAAAGGCTTTCTTTGCAGGAGTGGTAAGAAAGGGCAGACATAATGGCTAGACTCCATGATGTGACTTCTATGTCACAATCCAAAGCTTCTCCTTGGTTAAATCACTTCAGGGAACATAATGTGTGTTATTGTGGATAAAACATTAGGCTGGATGTTAGAAGATAGTGGTTTCGGTTGTGGTTTTATCATTCCAAAATGTTGAGATCATTAAATGTGCCATCCAAAGATGGTAGATTTCTTTTCTATCTGCTGGGTAGTAAATAAATGAACGCTGGCCTGGGAATATTGAAGAAAAATACCTCAAATGTTTGGCAATACTCTATTAGCAGAATATTAGTATGTAATTTTGCATTGCTATTAGTATGAGATATTGATGTGGGAAGGGGGCAGGGAAGTGCTGGGTAGAGAAGGGCTGGTCCCTGGCTAGGGCTCCAACCCCAGGCCTGTGTCCACGGACCTAGGTGAGAACAGGCATTTCTGTTTTTGTGCCTAAATGTTGCATTTTCCAAGACCACCCTGGCCCACCACACCCCCATCCTGTGCCTATAAAAACCCCTGAGACCCTAGCAGGCAGAGACAAAAGCAGCTGAACGTTGAGGGGAACACACTGACAAATGAGCAGCTGGACATGTAGAGGAGCTGAAGAGCACACCAACAGGCACCAGCAGATACCAGCAGGCCATCGATCGGCAGAATGATGTGGATGCTGAGGGGAATCTTGTGTCCGGAATTGGTGGGTTCTTGGTCTCACTGACTTCAAGAATGAAGCCGCGGACCCTCGCGGTGAGTGTTACAGCTCTTAAGGTGGCGCGTCTGGAGTTTGTTCCTTCTGATGTTCGGATGTGTTCGGAGTTTCTTCCTTCTGGTGGGTTCGTGGTCTCACTGGCTCAGGAGTGAAGCTGCAGACCTTCATGGTGAGTGTTACAGCTCTTAAGGTGGCGCGTCTGGAGTTGTTCGTTCCTCCCGGTGGGCTCGTGGTCTCACTGGCTTCAGGAGTGAAGCTGCAGACCTTCCCGGTGAGTGTTACAGCTCATAAAAGCAGTGTGGACCCAAAGAGTGAGCAGTAGCAAGATTTATTGCAAAGAGCGAAAGAACAAAGCTTCCACAGTGTGGAAGGGGACTCGAGTGGGTTGCCACTGCTGGCTCGGGCAGCCTGCTTTTATTCTCGTCTGGCCCCACCCACGTCTTGCTGATTGGTAGAGCCAAGTGGTCTGTTTTGACAGGGCGCTGATTGGTGCCTTTACAATCCCTGAGCTAGACACAAAGGTTCTCCATGTCCCCACCAGATTAGTTAGATACAGAGTATCTACACAAAGGTTCTCCAAGGCCCCACCAGAGTAGCTAGATACAGAGTGTCAATTGGTGCATTCACAAACCCTGAGCTAGACACAGGGTGCTGATTGGTGTGTTTACAAACCTTGAGCGAGATACAGAGTGCCGATTGGTGTATTTACAATCCCTGAGCTAGACATAAGTTCTCCATGTCCCTACGAGACTCAGGAGCCCAGCTGGCTTCACCCAGTGGATCCCGCACCGGGGCTGCTGGTGGAGCTGCCTGCCAGTCCCCCGCCGTGCGCCCACACTCCTCAGCCCTTGGGTGGTCGATGGGACTGGGCACCCTGGAGCAGGGGGTGGCGCTCCTCAGGGAGGCTGGGGCTGCACAGGAGCCCATGGAGGGGGTGGGAGGCTCAGGCATGGCGGGCTGCAGGTCCGGAGCCCTGCCCCGCGGGAAGGCAGCTAAGGCCTGGTGAGAAATCAAACGCAATGCCGGTGGGCTGGCACTGCTGGGGGACCCAGTACACCCTCCGCAGCTGCTGTTCCGGGTGCTAAGCCCCTCATTGCCCGGGGCCAGCAGGGCCAGCCGGCTGTTCCGAGTGCAGGGCTGCCAAGCCCACGCCCACCCAGAACTCCAGCTGGCCCGCAAGCAGTACGCAGCCCCGGTTCTCGCTCGCGCCTCTCCCTCCACACCTCCCTGCAAGCTGAGGGAGCCGGCTCTGGCCTTGGCCAGCCCAGAAAGGGGCTCCCACATTGCAGCAGTGGGCTGAAGGGCTCCTCAAGTGCCACCAAAGTGGGAGCCCAGGCAGAGGAGGCGCCGAGAGCAAGCGAGGGCTGTGAGGACTGCCAGCAGGCTGTCACCTCTCAATCCCTCCTCTAAAGAGGACACCCCAACTGCTGTTGGGAATTTGGCCAATGACCGCTCTAGCTACTTCCTGCAGGATAGGGGTGAAGTAGGGGCCCTGCAGTTGTAATGTCATTCAGAGGGGAACTCTCTAGGCCAGGGGAAGTGCCAGCGGGTCGGTCCAGGGGTCCTCAGTAGAAGTTGTTAGTTGAACTCATTTGGGGTTCCATTTGTAAGACCATCTGTAGCTTGATGGCCTCAATTCTAGAGGAAACAAATTTGACAAGAAGGCTAAAAATACAGGGCCCAAAGGCAAGAAACAGCAAGATGGCTCCCATGGGACCTAGAAAGGGGAGAAGCCATGTTGCCCAACGCCAAAGGTTGGTATAAGAATTTGAAAGGCGTTGTCTGATTTCAGAAGCCTTTTCCTGTAAATGCTGGGCGGCATCTCGTACTATCCCTGACTGGTTAGTGTAAAAACAACACTCTTCCCCTAAGAAGGTACAGAGTCCTCCTTTCTCAGCAGTGAGGAGGTCTAGGCCTCGGCGGTTTTGGAGAGTCACTGCTGCCAAAGAGTCTATTTGGGATTGTAAAGTTAGCATAGATTTCGTTATTTCTTGCAAACAGTTTGAGAGGCAGATATGAGTTGAAGATCCACATAAGTAGAATATGCCTTGGCTGGGTAGATAGAAATTTACCCTGGCTTTTAAAGGAATAGGGTACACTGTTTTTTCTTTACTACTTCCATCTCTCTCTTTCTCTCTTTGACTTCTTCTTTGTCTCTTCCTCTCTTTTTAACTCTCTTTGACTTTCTGTGTCTGTCCCTCTTTCTCTCTGACTCCTTTTCTTTGTCTCTGTTTCTGACTCCCTCTTCTCTGTTTCTGACTCCCTCTTTGACTTTCTGTCTCTCTGTCTCTTCCTCTCTCTGTCTCTTTCTCTTTCTCTCTTTCCTTCTTGCTGGTCTTTCCCTACCTCTGCCAACTGCTTATGCTGCTGTTCTCCCCTCTCCTTCCCATTTTGATGGCTTTGGTAGTGTAAGAATATGGGCAGGGCAGGTGGAAGACAGTCTGGCCACTGAGCGGCCTGACTCCAGGGGAAAATCACCTTCCCACTCCATCCCCCTTCTGGCTCCCCATCCATCTGCTGAGAGGAACTTCCACCATTCAATAAAACCTTGCACCCATTCTCTAAGCCCATGTGTGATCCCATTTTTTCTGGTACACCAAGGCAAGAACCTGAGATACAGGAAGTCTTCTGTCCTTGCAATAAGGCAGAGGGTCTAACTGAGCTGATTAACACAAGCCACCTGTAGACGGCAAAACTAAAAGTACATACTGAAACACACGCCCACCGGGCTTCTGCTGTAAACATTCACTCCTAGACACTGCTCTGTGGTCAGAGCCCCACCACCTGCCCATCTGTATGCTCCCCCTAGAGGTTTGAGCAGTGGGGCACTGAAGAAGGGAGCCACTCCCCCTGTCGCACACCCTGTGCAGGGGACAAGGGAACTTCTCCCATTTCAACATGTGATGCTGGGAAAATTGATAATTGCCTTGAGGGAATTTCCTCATTTCTAAAATGGAAATTTCTGTGCCTTCCTGGTGCATACCCTAAAGCTATAAGGTTCAGTGGAAAAAAGATAAAATTGGGAAGCCAGAGTGCTTAGGTTTCAGCTTTGGCAAGAGCCACTATCAACCAACTGACCTTGGGGAAGTCATTTCCCCGGTCAGCCCCTTTGTTTTCTCAACTTTAAAACAAAACGAGTGGGCCAAATAATCTAATCTCTTAGGTTCTATCTAGCACTAACATTTTCTAGTCTAGAATCACCTATGATAGCAGAAGTGCTAAAACTCTTTCCCAGATTACATGTTATATTCAGGGCAGAGCAGGGCCTAGAACTGAGGTCTTCTAGTATCTGAGATTATAAGGATTTTGTTCTGTCTAATGAGGTGTTCCCAGATAACCTGAACTCCTGAAAATTTCCACCTCAATGAATCAATCTTAATGCTCAAACACTGAAAGCATGAGGTCTCTGTATGAGTAAAAAAAAAAAAATTACTTTTTTAGTTAAATCCGGAAGGGGAGATGCTATCTCCCGAGAACCAGCTGTCAAGCAAGATTTCAAATATTTACTAATTCTAATGGGTTGGAAACGCCCCAACAACATTTGTTCTGGTGTCATTTTCTTAGTTCCAGTCCCAACAGCAATCAAGATATGCAGGGGAGTGTGGCAACAATGAAAATAAGGAATTAATCAATCTTTCTCCAACTCTTCTTAGTGGGGGAGCAGTACGATCAAGGATGTGGCAGAAGAAAGACCTGAGATATAATATATGCTCTATGTTTTATGCCCATTTTATTAAAACAGTAATGGAAATCAAGTTATTTAAAAAAAAATAAAAACATACATTTCCTTTGAGCTTAGACAGCTTTTATTTTTCATCCAAATCACTTGAAAGAAAATCCATGTCTACATTCATCTTACATATGAACAATAAATCAATTGCTTTTTTTTTTTTTTTTTTTTTTTTTTGAGACGGAGTCTTGCTCTGTCGCCCAGGCTGGAGTGCAGTGGCGCGATCTCGGCTCACTGCAAGCTCCGCCTCCCGGGTTCACGCCATTCTCCTGCCTCAGCCTCCCGAGTAGCTGGGACTACAGGCGCCCGCTACCACGCCCGGCTAATTTTTTGTATTTTTAGTAGAGACGGGGTTTCACCGTGTTAGCCAGGATGGTCTCGATCTCCTGACCTCGTGATCCGCCCGCCTTGGCCTCCCAAAGTGCTGGGATTACAGGCGTGAGCCACCGCGCCTGGCCATCAATTGCTTTTTATTGACTGTTCCTCCCCACTTTGCCATGGTAATGGCTAGTTTCTGCGCAGTCGATCAGATCAGCCAGGCTACTGATTTGATTTGGTCTTTGAAATGGTCCCTGAATTAGGTAACTTTATGTTTTTTGTCCTTTGAATGAAAATCACACTTACCTAGTGTTTCTTTCAAATGTGGTCTGTATGCTACCTGCCTCAAAATAATCAGTAGTGGTTGTTATAAATGGAGATCCT
This sequence comes from Homo sapiens, assembly GCF_000001405.40. Classification (NCBI taxonomy): domain Eukaryota; kingdom Metazoa; phylum Chordata; class Mammalia; order Primates; family Hominidae; genus Homo; species Homo sapiens. Next base: position 208,736,462 of record NC_000001.11, on the reverse strand, counting down.
AAGGCCTTCTTCCTACTCCTTCTAAATCAGAATCCCTAAAGGTGGAGATTCACAAATTCTATCAACAAGTTCCCCAGATAATTCTCCTGAAAGTCACCTGTGGAGGTCACCAATGTCCTAAGTACCAAACTAATACCATCTTTGCAGTCTTCATCCTAATTAAACTTACTGCAGTATTTGACCCTATGGATTACTTTATTCTTGAAACTTTCTTCCTGATTTCAGGAAGATGCTAAAGTCTCCTTCTCCCTCCAACTCACTTCTTATTTGTTTTCTGTTCTCATTACTTCCTTCTGCTGGTCCAAAATGTAGGATACATTGGTTGACTATTCCACTGAGACAGCACCTGAAAGAGAAAGGTGGCTCCCAAAGTAAAACCAGGGCACTGTTGAGAATGAAAAGGAGAATAGATGTTACATAGGTAACAATAAAACTTGTTCACTACAAGTCTATGCATTTTGAGATCCTTAAAGTCAACAACCACTTCTCATTCATATCTGAGTCCTCAACCCTTAGCATGGTGATTAATACATAGGAGGCTATCATTCAATCCCTGGTGAATTAATGAATGAATAAATTAAATAAATAAATTCCACAACACTAATTTTGGGATTACGAAGCACTAACTTTGCTATTTAAATAGACTCTTAGTCTCAACTCTTCTAAACCATCTTCAAAAAAATCTTCAAAAAACTAGATATTAATCAATTTTGATCTTTTGGTTAGAATCATTAAATGGATTCAGATATAAATGTGTGCCCTTGGAATTAAAGTACCTCTTTTATGTGTTCCCATCCTATTTTTTTCAACACCAGCCTCTAATTCTGTCACAATACCTTATACTACAGGCAAATCATGCCATTCTTCCTTCTAGAAATACTTTACACGTCCTTGCATCTAAATATTTTTCTATGTAAATCCCTTAAACGTAAGTGATTTTCTCAAATTCATCTTTGACAGAAAAACAATCTTACTCATCTCTCAAATTTTATTTTAGACGCTACATTCTATGATCAACAGTTATTTATCAAGTTCCTTCTAAGAAGCAGTCACTGAGTTTGGTATTGCAAATAAAAACAAAGACTTGTCTGTTGCCTTCATGGTCCTGGACTTTAGAGATCACTTTATTAGGCAATCGTTCTCCCCCAGGTTTTCATGTCAGCATGTAGTACCTCTGGGTGATGTTTAATACATCCTAATCTGTATTAATGCAGCAATTAGAATACATCCTATTCCTATGAAAAGGGTGTAAGCTTTTAAATGGCACAGGCCAAGTGTCATATAGTTTTCTAGCTCTCAGTATTTTCATAGTAGTTGCTCAATAAAACCTTGATGCATTGGATTTGACTTAATCTATTCCAATCCCTTTATCTGAGAGATGAAGAAAGTGAAGTCCAGAGAGCTTAAAGAAACTACTCAAGGTCAATTAGCTAGTTAGTAGCAGAGACAGAGCTAATGCTTTTATTTCCTTGAAATGCTCTCATTCAAGTTTAAAAATTAGTGTGTGAGAGGAAACCTACTTCTATATTTCAATATTTGTCCCTTTCACATTGCATGTTTTTTGCTAAATCCCTGTCACCTTCATGTTTATAGACAAACTGTTAGTTTAGGTTAGTCCAAGCTAATTCCTTTTCTTTATTTCCATGTTTTTCTCTGGAATTTCTTCAGCACTGTCACACAATATCTCTTGCAGTATGCATTGAGATTACAGGGAGCATTCTAGCTGCAGCCACATCATGGTTTTGTATACAGAATGATAATAATGTCTGTACATTCCCAGCCTCCTTTCTGATCATGTCCAGGTAATTGCTGGTCTTTTGGCCACAATATCAGCATGTGGAGCAGATATTGCAGAAAATGAATGCAAGGGTCCCAACAACCCTATTACAAATTGTAACTGATAGTGAACCCATCATCATATAGGTATCATGTGTATTTATTTTTCTTTCTTTGAATGCATTTCCTGTACAAGCTCACATGGAAATTCACAGGCTAGATATCTGCTCAGTCTCATAGCCTGTAATTTACTCACGTCAGCTTGGTGTATTACTACGTGGAATGGTTTAGCTCCACCTGCCTTCATTGTATGCCATTTTCAAAATAATCTCTTAAAAATGATATTAGATACATTCCCAAATTAATATCCTGGAGGTTTCTCTGTTATTGACGTAACATACAGGAAAAGCGTTTTTTAAAATCTACTTTTTGTTTCTTGTATGAGGTACTTTATATGTCTTATATGAGTATATATAAGGTATAAGTGTAAGGTACTGGCTTAAAGACAATATTAATGAAGCTGTTTTCCCTTGTTCATTCTATGCTTAATAAGCTCTAAAACATCTTCTAGAAAATTGACAAAAGTGTCAAAGATTTTTACAAAAGTATACCCATTGGCTTTCCACGTTCATATATTTACCAAGTTCGTCAAACAGCTCCAGGAGATAAATGAGAGATGATTTTCTTTTCCAGGACCACAATAGGTAATGTTTACTTTTGCCTTCAGTGGGCTTTTCCCATGCTATAGAATCTTCCAGCTACTTAAAATAGGCATTACACAAGGTGTCTTGGAGTCCCCTAAAAAGTGTCTGGAACAGTGCTGGGACATTGTAGTCTTTTCCTTCCCCTCTGAAACTCAAGTTACTTATGATAGGTGACTTTGGTGCCAGGAGGGACAGAAGACCCAAGCATTGGGGTCTGGTTCTGATTCTGCCACTTGTTGGACTGACGAGTCACTTCTCTTTTCTCCATTTGCTCAGTTGTAAACTCAAATATTTGCAATCAATGGTCTCAAAGACTTTCTCTAGCTCTATTTTTTCAAGGATTCTAAAAATCTATTTTGGTTCACAGTTTCACATTCACTATTCGTCTTTCAAAACATTTGGTAGTCTGAGGTCTTTACATTGTCTGGCTCATCAGTTAATGCTGCAACATCCAATACATTTATTAAGATTTCATTGTGTGCCTTTTATGTCTCTACAAAAAAAAGAAAAAGAAATGAATTGGTGTGTGACTGCCTTTTTGAGCAAAAATCAAGGTGAACAAATCTCTCTTAATCTCTGAATGCATTTTTAATGCTCTGTTTTCTTTTTTATTCTTTTCTGTTTCTATTTTTTGTTTCAGTTTTTGTTTTATTCTTTGCTCTCTCCTGTCTTCTCATTCTTTCTTTTTTTGTGATAGGAACTATAAATGGTCTTGAATAGCCTCTCCATTGTTTCGTGCTATTTAGATTTATACTCACAGAATTTCAGAATTAGAAAATATTTTGGAGAGACACTATGTTATAATAGAAAGAGCATCAAACTTTTTATTAATAAGTCTTAATTATGTGATCTTAGGAAAACCACTTAACTTCTCTTATTCTCCATCTGTAAAACAAAGGTTATAATAAAAATATTAAACACTTTTCTGAAGACTAAACAAGAGATACTATAAAGCACACTGCAAACTTTTCTACCTAAATGTTACTTATTATTATTACATAATCCCCTAAGCTTTTCATTGGCTTAGCTCTCCCTTGCAAGCTGGTGCTTGAATTCAGTTTTGAATTCTAGTTTGCACCCGACACGTTGTATTTTTAAAAGGATAGCCAGAGCAAGCCTTCCTATTTCCATGTGGGCTATCTTTCCCTTTTAAAAGCACAATGCCTATGCTCTGACAAAGACCTTTTTCCTATGATAGCCATTTGGCAGGGGTTTTGTCTGAGTGCCTGTTCAAGCAGAACGTGTGATTTACTGTTGGTTGCGAAAGTGAAAGAGATTTTGACAAGTGGAGAAATGGAGAAAGTCTGAGCTTTGTTCATTAACATGCAATTTACTTTGTATGTGTGTAGGGGGCGGGAGACAAAGTACGGAGGGTTAGACATATGAGTTATAAACTTGAAGCCTAATTTGGTTGTGGAAACAGATCTGTGTCTGGCAGAAACACATGGCACCCTAGTCCTCAGGCCATCAGTGTTTGGGAAGCTTGATTCATTTAATTGGTAAATCATCTGTCTTGCATTGTTCTCCACCAGCATTATCTGTGAGGCAGCTGCCCACCTTGGCTAATTTAAATATGATTTAGCAGGATAGCCTCCTGTCCCTCCTGCCAGGACATTCAGAGCACCAAATTAATGTTGATTGGCATTTCCCACCCAGGATTGGTGATTCATAGATAAGATTTTGTTACTGATCTATGGCAGGAAGAGTTAGACAGCATATCTTTATTACTCCCTTTGCATTGAAGAGGGTTTGGCCCATTCCCCATTTGCTAATTTTCTTTATTTGTCTGCAAGATCCATTGTGTGAGCAGCTGTCATGCAGGTGGGGACTCCTCAAAGCATTCTGGGAAAATGTCCACCATTCCAGGCCATTCTCCTGGTTGTCTTTCTCTTTTTCAAAAAGGGCAACTAATCCTCTAAGTGACTGGGGAAATTATCTTTTCACCTTTTGGGAAACCTGATGAGAAGGTGATTTATTTGATTCAGTCAACATACTTCTAGATATCACCTTTTATGTGTAAAACATTGTGCTAGATGCTGTGGGTGACAGACAGATATGTGAATCAAAAACTATGCATTTAGGAAATCAGTTTAGATATGTCTGCAGATAACCAACTACTCTTGGAAATAATCAAGAACTCAAGGAAAATTTTAGTGATATTTGTGCCTGTATCTTTATCTAGTTTTCTTATATAGATTCCAATCCTTAAGCCACTTCTCTTTTCTGTAATTTTCCCTAGAAGCTATTTTAATTTTCCTCCCTCTTTCCCTTTTTCTTCCTAGCTTTTAAAGTTATTGTTTTAAAAAGTTAAATATAAAAAATTGAATGTGATACAATAACACTTTTGTGCTTACCACTAAAATATTTTTCACATTTGATTAAGAAATTTATTTTTAAAAGAATATGTCACTGCTAAAATTAAAGTCTTCTCAGTTCTCCTGGTCTTCCAATGTCCTTCCTTTCTTTACAGAAGTTGACACTATCATGAACGTGACAGTGAATGTGACAGTGATATGTATGTATCAAATCCATATTTTTAACCTTAACTGCATGTGAATCTATTCATAAAAAATATACAGCATCATACTGAATTTTTAGTTTATAAAATTTATATCATACATTAAACATCATACTGAAATTTGCTTTTTCTGTCAATATTATGATGAGCAGATCTGCATCATTTTATATAGATAGGTAGATAGGTATAATCTACCTTATCTCTTTTAATTACTGTATAATATGTCCCGTACCACTTTATTTATCCTTTCTTTGCCTAATGGATATTTTAGTTTTTCTACTTTTTGGTTTTTTTTTTTTTTATACTACAACCAACAATGCTTCAATGACTATCTTTGAAGATAGCGTCTTTTGCATATGAGGGAGAATTTCTCTGGGGTATATACTTAAAAGTAGAATTTCCAGGTCATAGGTTATACAAATATGCAATTTTACTAGATATTTCTGAATTGTACTTCAAAACAGTTGTGCCAATTTATATTTTTACCAGCAGTGTTTGAGAGTTATCATTTTTCCTTTTCCCTGCCAAAGTTTGGTACCTTTGACATAAATATCTTTGCCAACCTGATGGGGCTAAAGAGTATCTTGTTAGTATTTTAATTCTGATTAAAGGTAGGTGGGACTTTTTAAATATTTATCTTCTCTTTGGGCTTCATCTTCTATGAATTGCCTTTTTGTATCTTTCATTCATTTTCCTATTTGTCTTTTTCTAAATTGATTTGTAAAGTTATTATATTTTGAATATTAATGTTTTGCCTGCTATATATGCTGTAAATGTTTTCTCTTAGGTTGTGATATAACTTAATTTTGTTTATGGTATCTTTTGGTCCACAGAAATTTTGAAGATTTCTATTTTATTATTGTAGTTAAGAATGCTTTCCTATTCAAGCTTTTGCTATTTATTCTTATATTGTATTCTAATATTTTAAAATATTTTTTCACATTTAATTCATATAGACATTTGGAGTTTGTTTTTGAGTTTGGTTGAAATGAAAATCTAATTTGATTTTATTTTTTATATGAAAAGACAAGTGTTTCAGCATCATTTCGGTCCCAACTGATTTTATATATCTTCTCTAATCATATATCAAGGTCTCAGATATGCTTAGATCTCTTTCTAAACTCTTAATTGTAGTGCATTGACTTTTTTTCCTTCACTACACCTATACCATATTATCTGAATTTCTAGCTCTTTATCAAAATATTTGATATCTTTTAGGATAACTTTAAAATAGCAATTTTGCCTTTATGAGTGTTCCAGTATTCTTTTTATTTTACCTTAAAAATTTTTATGACAATTAATTTTCACTGTCAAGTCTTTGCTTCTGCAAATGCTAAGGAGTTGCAGTACCTCTGCTTCAGAATCTTTGTACTCAAACAAGTCGCATACCTTTGACTCTTCTTTATGTTGATAGAAATCCTCTGCATTCTTGCTCTTACCTTTTATGTCAGCCAATATAGCCTATACAATCTTTTTACCAGAGCCTGAATCTTTGTGTCTTGGATTCAAATCACCAACTCAAAAAATCCTTTTCCTATTTTTCCCAAGACATATGGAGACAACCATGGGTTGGCAATAATTCCTGGATTTTCAGAACAAACATATTCTCTTGAGTTCTCAAAGTGTGACTTGTTGCAATGATGTTGCCTAATACAAAACCAAAACAAAATCAAGCTTACAAACAGTACAAGTGCTAAGAGAAGCTGATATAGAGATGAAAATGAGAAGTAAAGATCTGTGAGAACTTGCAGGAAGGTGAAATTACATTTGGCTGGAGCAGTTGAAGGAATCTTCAGAAATATAGTGACATTTTAGTTGAAACTTTGAAAATAGGCAAGATTTTCAAAGAAGTGGAAAACAGCATACCTGATATAGGGAAATCAAGAGTAAAGCTGTGTTAATAGGATATAAAAATGGGACTCTGTCAAGTATGGCTCAAGAGCAAAGAGAAGTTCTAGACCACATATGTGGGATTTGCATAGAAGCTGTCCAAGAATCAGTTTCATGGAAAAAATAACATATTTTTATTACCTGTACATTCAGTCTATAAAAGAGATTGGAGAGGCCAAAAGAAATTGAAAAGGACTTTTATAGAGAGATAATTTGTTGAAATGCTGTGAGCTTCTCTCCCCCACCATCACCCTTACTCACATGTACATAATGGAATAGATGTGGAAGAGTACTTACCCTTCATCTAAAGACAAGTGAGAAGGACTTCAAAGTTGTGTTAATCATGGAGTTTTAATTTTTGCATTTTTATCTTTGACATCTTGGGGTGTTGCTAACTCTGGAGGGACTGTCTTTCCCAGGGCTAGCTAATTCCTAGAGGTAGCAAACAATTCAATTAGGACCATGCCTTGCATACGCAAACCCACAAATCTAGAGCTCATGCCCTCAAGTGCCTTCTTTATCAGACTCTCATCTTCTGGGGCACTACTCCCCTGCCCTAATCATGCCTGGGCCAGACAGCTACAGCCTCTCCACACCAGCCTGCTGAAATCATTTAAACTAATTAATCCTAAATCTGCTTACCCTTCCTGATGGCTCTTTCCTGCAGAAACCACAATAAAGACTCTTGGCTGCTTCTCCATTTCATTCCCTCTGCCTCTGACAAACCCTAGTATTTCCCTGTGGCCCTGCATGGTCTACTGTGCCTCCTGTGTCTGGCAATCTGTGAGTATAACAAACTTCTTCCTCCATGATGGTCATTTCCATGTCTGCATGTCTTACCGTACCAATGAAAACACATCCTGGGTGCTCTTAAGACAGAAGATTATTTGTAGAGTTTGGTAAGGAGAATGAGTCCATAATGGATTGAATTCTAAAAGAATTCAGTAGAGCCTGTGAATTCTAAAGGATAAGTAGAATTACTGTTGGGAAGTAACTATGGCATTAAGGTCTTCCAAGAAGCAGATGCCAAGATGGGCTCAAATGTGCAAGATATTTATGGAAAACCACCTATGAAGGACAAAGGAACAGAGAACAAGAGCCTTCCCCCATGTCTAATACCTGTGAAAGGAGAGAGAGAAGGAAGAATTTAGTAGGAAGAGCCTGAGGTTGCTGCTTAGTTCTGAGAAAGCCTCAGCGAGGCCGATGGAGAGCCCTTGAGCTGAGGTTGCCCATTAGACAAATTCTGCATCAGGTAGTACTGGTTCTTTTCTAGTAACCTGGCCATGCTCAGTCTTTGTGCAGGAGTAGCCCAGGAGAGCATGGCCTGGGATAAATTCCTCAATGAATACAAAGTTGCAGCAGCTCAGCTATGCTAGTCACAGCAGTTTCTTTTAAGGGAAATCTGAGTAGAACACCTCCATGGCTATCACAGCCAACCCAGATTGTGCATTTGCTCATGAACTAGATATGGCCACATGAACAATAGGTGATATTTCCCAGGAGACTCCTGGAGGTGCAATGAGATCTCTGCAGTAAGAGGTTGAATGTGTACCTTTGGATGTTCACAGATGAGGGAAGGAATCATAATTGGCTAACAAGAGGAGATACATTTGACTATGTTAAGAGAACTGGAGGTAAGAGATCCTCAGTGTTATGATGGGGAGGAGGTATATTTGAAAATTCCACCGAGCATCCCATGGAAGAAGGAATCAGTATTATATATAGATATATATGTCTCTCTCTCTCAATTATCTATCTATCTATCTATCTATCTATCTATCTATCTATCTATCTATCTATCCATCCCTCTATCCATCTATCCATCCATCTCTCCGTCTGTCTATCCATCCATCTGTCCATCCATCCATCTGTCTATCTATCCATCCGTCTGTCCATCCATCCGTCTGTCTATCTATCTATCCATCCATCCATCCATTCTATCTATCTATCTGCCAAGCTCAGAGAGCACTAATGTCATCTTAGTATAATATTAGTCCAGTAAGACTTTTCTTGCTCCCTTATCTTTTTTTCCCTGTACCAGCCCTGGCCCTGTAGATTCATAAACCGTAATTAGCATCTCAGACAGGAAGAGACCAAAAGACAAAGGAGAGACACAGGAAATAAGCAGAAATGGATTATATCCCTTTCACCCTTCAGACTTCTCACTCGCAGAGGTTCAAAACGCATTTAGGATTCTCCCCGAAAAGAATCTAAAATTTAAAATTTTTGTCTATCTAGTGTATTTCCAGTGGCATTTAAGTCATCAGTGATGTGCTAACCTTTGTGATAGATCAATGCCTTATGCATTCCTTTAGCTGGCCCTCCTCTTAATCCTTCCATGTTGTCTGATCTCAGGTCTTGAATCCTGGACCTCACTATTTCCATCCTATCATTTAGCCCCATTTTGTATTTTTTTAGCTTCTTATTCAGTTTAGATTCCGTTGTCCATCTCTTCTTCCTGTCTTTTGATCCATGAGTTCAGCTGCCCACTAGCAACGTATTACATATGTACTTTTGAATATCATGAAGAAAATCATGCAATGATACAGATGCCACTATAAATTTATATTCTGCATCACCAGTGGGACCCTCAGGATTGCCCACCAATCCTTCTGTTTCCCTAGTTACAATTTGTTCCCTACTATTCTCAAATCTTTGAACACCATCTCTCCTTTCATCTCATTCTCATATATTCTCTTTCCAGTTCATGCAGAAAATAAAAGCCATAATCTTTTATGCCACAAAATTTCCCACTTGCGTCTGGTTTATTGCAATAGCCTCCTAACTACTACTAGTTTTGTCACATTCCAATCCATTTCCAACATTGCAGCTAATCTGATCATTTCACTACCCTGCTTAAAATCTTTCAAACTCATAGGATGGAACACAGACCGCCTAACAGGATATGTACTCTCTTATTAGACCAACTCCTGCCTATCTCCATCAGTCTCATTTCTTCCCAGGCCATACTCAAACGCAATGCCCCCAACATATCGAACCTCAGTTTTTAAGCTGCTGCTTGACTCTTTCTGCCCTTCAGACCCTTCTTCACATTTTAATACCCACCTAAAATAGTTTTCTACTCTCTCTTTGCCTAACCAATTATCATCTACCCTTTATGTCTCAGCTTGTATGTAGATCCTCCTTTGAAACCTTTTCTGACCACCCCCAAACCTGTGTCTGATGCCCCTTCTAGAATCTTTCTAGTGCTCTGCACATCCATATCATACTAAGTAACACAGCATGTTGCAATTTCCTTGTCTGTCTTTCCTGCCCTATGAGGGCTAAAACTGTGTCTCTGTTGTTAATAAATTTATTCCCAGATCTAAACAGAGTTCCTAGAAACAGAAATCACTCAATAAATGCCTGCTGAATGAATAAATGTGAATAGTCACTCTAAAATGCTATTGTCACTTAGAAGGAAAACAAAAACAAGGAACTTTATGAAACAGCTTATAATTAAGGAATCTTGGCTATGGATCCCTCATACTTAGAAACATACAGGCATAATCTGAACACTGTATGGGTATTTATACATGTGATGAAAATCTTGAACTCAGACCAAAGCTGCTGTGTTTATAAGCAGCCACCAAATCAGCAGATAATTTTGCATCTTATACCGTAAAGAAACCTAGTACTGTAGTTGGCTGACATTCATAATTAATATCTTGTAATAACCCAAATGTCTTTATTTCTATCTGAATCTTTATGATAAAATTGCTAATAAACCTCTTTCTCAACATGAATAACAATTACATTTCCTCTGGTAAAAGATATGCAAGTGCATTTCCCTTCATAAATGAGAGTTAGAGTCAATGAATGCAACAACTCTTTTTATCTCCACAACTCTGTTGCAGTAAAATGGTCATATAGAATTCTAGCAAAATGCCATACATTATCCTCCTTAAAAATTAGCATCTTTAGTGCCACAATGAATACTGATTTATAGACTTCTTAAATATCCTCTTATAACATTTTTTTTAGCATAAGATAGCTAACACCTCTGAGTTAGAATGTACTAGAATAACATTACCCAAAGCAACCGCTGTAACTCAGTAGCTTCCCAGCTGAAAGATGCCTTTTCCTGCTGGGCTGAAAGTGAATGCAGTGTTAGGAAAGCCCTTGCTTTCAACTTTTATTAGGTGGTAGCTACAACCTAACAGGGCTAATTGAGTAGGGGAACTGTTACACAAATCATTTTAATCCTGAGCATCTTCACATACTGTGAATACTGCTTCTTGCTTGGTTTAAAGCTTTTAACCTTTAAATTAATTACAAATTGTGTTGGTTTGTGATATCAGGCTTAATGGTCAGGGAGGAAAATAGCCCACCCAAGAATGAGTTATGCTTCATGAAGTTGGGGAGGGGACCCCTCTAGTCACTGTCCACTGTGCCCCTGGGGAGAAAAAAACTCCTGTAGCATTGGTGTGTGAACCGGAGGCTGTGGGCTAGGAATGGGGAAATAGAACTCAGGGTCTCTCTTAGGCACTGGGACTCTTCTCTCCTCTTGAATTCTGAGATTAGAAGAGAGAAAGAGAAGCCTGAATCCATGCCCTGACCATAAGCTGGGTTATACACCAGTGAGACCCTGCTTTCTATTTCAAAAACAGCAACAACAATTCACACGGAAAACTCTCTCATTTAAATAGCACTGAACTAGTATATGAGTACAAAAATACAGTTAGATAGGATGAATAAAATCTAGTATTTGATAACACAACAGGGTGAATAAAATCAACACTAATTTATTATACATTTGAAAATAACTAAATATAATTTGAATGTTTGTAACACAAATAAATGATAAATGCTTGAGGTGATGGATACCTCATTTACCCTGATGTGATTATTACACATTGTATGCCTGTAGCAAAATATCTTACATACCTCATAATGTGCTACTATATACCTGTAAAAATTAAATTTTTAAAAAATATAGCACTGGACTGTTTTCCAAGCACTGCTGGGACATTATTTTGGTCTCTGAAACCACCTTGGGCATGATGTAAATCCCTCTTTTCCCATCACATATTTTACAGGAAAGCAAACAGAGTTATTACTTTTCCTGTTTTATGGATTGGAAACTGAGGCTTAGAGGGGTGTAGTGATTGGTCCAACATTATACAATTAATAATGATGAAGTTAATGCTGGAACTCAAATATGTGACTCCTGGTTCAATTCTGATTGAAACACTTTTTTATCTGTATTGTCCTACATTGTTCATATATTACAGTCTCACAGCTTCGATAGTACATTCTTTCTGTTGCTCAACCACAATTCTTAAAAAGTAAAAGACTTCCTCATTCTTATGCTATCTCAGTGGAAAAAAGAGAACTGATACACATAGCATACAAGCTATATTAACTTATCTCTCTCTAGAATAAATGGTCATATTTAGTAAATGTTTTCTGGCATAGGTTAGGCTAAAGTGATAGCAAATAACAGTGTAAGATTTATACTAGATAAACTGAAAGAGAATGAAAATATCTGAATCAAAATATGGAAGTGCAGAAAAATATTGAGATGTGCTTCAGAGAATACCAGACCTATTTGCAGTAGTGAAAGGAACAATTAGACATCAGTTATATGCATTACTTCTACAGAGTGTTTGAAGTTATAAAGGCCCATCAGAGTATTAACTTTTTCCCTTATAAGGGTTGAACTCTCTCCTAGCCAGGCAGCAGTGCAGGCCTATTCACCCTTAGTTTTCCTTGAACATGGTGTTAGGGTGAAGTAGGACTTGGGTTTAGTAGGAGGGCACTGATGCTGGAAAGCTGTTGCAAGCAAGAAACATTGATATAGGAAGTCAAATCTTCATTTATGTGCAAACATTATTATTTCTGGAGTCCATTGTGTAGTAGGACCTGGCTTTGGATCATGGGCAAAAGTATGATACAGATATTTACATAGTTTTGAAGTATCTCTCCACATGATACTTATATCTACAAATGGAAAAATAACAAGTGTAGAGAAACCTGGCAATCACCCCTTTACATGTATATGTATTCGTTTCCTAGGACTACCATAACAAAGTCCACAAACTGGATGACTTAATCAACATATTTTTTTTATAAGAATCCTAGAAGCTAGAACCAAGATCTAGGTATCAGCAAGGTTGGTTTCTTCTGAGGACTCTCCTTGGCTTGTAGCTGTCTGTCTGTTTCCTGTCCCTTCACATGTTTTTTTCCTCTGTTGTCTGTGTCCTAATTTCCTCTTCTCATAAGGACGCCAGTCATATTGAATTAGGGTTCACCCAAAGGACTTCATTTTAGCCTAATTGCCTTTCTGAAGACTCTACCTCCAAATGCAATCACATTCTGAGCTACTGGGGTTTAGGATCTCCACATATGAATTCTGGGGTGAGAACATAATTCTGTCCATAATACCAAATAATCAAAGTTAGTGTCATCAGTAAAAAAGCATGTTTTAAAAATTGAGGTAAAAGTGACATGTAATAAACTTAATATCTCTCAGTGTATAACTCTTTTATAATTTCTAACATTATTCATTCCTTTGTGTAGATTTAATTTTTTGTCTGGCATGATATTGCTTCTGCCTAAAGAAATTCGTTTAACATTTCTTATTGTACATTTTAGTTGGTAACTTATTTTTCAATTTTTGTTTGCCTGAACAATTCTTATTTTACTTTCATTTTTGAAAGATGTTTTCACCTTTATAAAGTCCTGTGTTGACAGTTTAAAAAAAAAAATTGTTTTTTCCCCAGCATTTTAAAGATGTCCCTTGACTTGTGTAATTTCTGATGAAAAAAATCTGATGCATTCTTATGTTTGTCCCCTGTATGTTATATGCCTTTTTTTCCCCTCTGGCTGCCTTCCAGATTTTCTCTTTAGTTTGACTATAATACATTTAGGCTTTTTGTTTGTTTTTGATAATGTTAGTATTCTCTGAACTTGAATCTGTGGTATGATGTATGTCATTAATTTTGAAAAATTATGAGCCATTGTCTTTTAAATTTTTCTTCTATTTTCAGCGGTCTCTCTCCTTTCTTTCTGGAAGCCCAATTGCATGCATATTGGACAATTGGATACTTTCTCACAGCTCCTGAATGTTCTGTCTCTCACACACATTCTTTTCTTTTTTTTTATCTTTATGTTTTAGTTTAGGTAATTCCTATTAAGCTATTTGATTTTTGTCTCCAGCCTAGAGTACTGATAGGCATGCTGGAGAAAAAAATCAAATGGCTTGTAAGTACTGATGAGTATAGAAGGCATTCTTTATTCTTACCATTTTAATTAATATTATTTTAGTGTTTTTATTTGATTCCTTGTTATATTTTCATCTTGTGGCTGAAATTTTTACATCTGTTTATGCATGTTGTCCTCCTTTTCTACTATTTTCTTTAACATATTAATTAGAATTATTTTAAATTATTTCTCTAATAGTTCCCTTATATGAATCATACATCTCTGTGTGTGGTTCTGTTGATTGCTGTGCCTCTTGACAGTGTTTTTGTTGTTATTGTTTTGTTTTGTTTTGTTTTGCTCTTCTTTGTGTTGTAAATCTGGGTCAAAAGCCAGACATTGAGTACAGAACACTTGAGACTGAGGCAATGGTATTTGTGCCTGGAAATGGAACACTTCTACTAGACTTTTAGTGTGCAGAGTTGAGTCAATTTAGTCATGTGTTGAGCTAGTCAACATTTCAGTTTCATGGTAAAAGTTACCCTCAATATAACACTGGCTTCAAATTCTTCTAATATTTCCTTGTACTTAGTGTGAGGTCTGGGCTGCTGGTGGATTTTTTTCAATATTCCTGTATGGCCTTCAGCTTTAGGTTTTCTCTATGAATCTATACCTCAAAGATGGTCTTTTTCTATGATCTTGTCCCTTCACACAGTAAATTGTTGTTACTTGTTCTTATTTGATGCTTAATAGCCTAGGTGTGGTGGGGGCCGGAAGGGTATTCTCTATCACCTCTGCTCAACCTCAGTTTGGGGCAAGCCCAGCATTCCTGGCTTCCAGGGGTGGACTTTCTCAGTGATCCTTCTCCTCCCCTAGTGATAGATCTCCAGATCTGGGCCAGGATGGTTTCCTGTCTTTCCTCTAAGGGTAGGCAGTTTTTCTGTTTTCTTCTAGCCTCAATAGGTCTTCACTTGAGAATGATAGTATTTGCCAGCCATCCCCTAGTGACATAAGCTTACTTTTCCATGGGGGAGAAGGACCTGGGCAGAGCTCTGTTGTCTTTCCTCTTTCCTGCAGCAATGGCTGCTCCCCTTCCCCAAGCCTGCAATACAATAGTTTTTTTTTTTTTTTTGAGATCAGTTGCCCTGCTCCCAATCTTTCTAATGAACCCCCCATGAGGTTAATAAAGAGATTTCATGTAATCCCAGCACTTTGGGAGTCCAAGGTGGGTGGATCACGAGGTCAGGAGTTCAAGACCAGCCTGACCAACATGGTGAAACCCTGTCTCTACTAAAAATACAAAAATTAGCCGGGTATGGTGGCGCACGCCTGTAATCCCAACTACCCGGGGGGCTGAGGCAGCAGAATTGCTTGAACCCAGGAGGTGGAGGTTGCAGTGAGCTGTGTTCACACCACTGAACTCCAGCCTGGGCGACAGGATGAGACTCCATCTCAAAAAAATTAAATAAAAACAAAGAAACTTCAAATAGTTAGAAACTCCCTCATATCTATGGCTCTATGCTCTCACACTAGCTCACACTCTGATTTTAGCCATTTGTTAAAAGTTCAGCTGAACTCTTATTTGTTTTCATGGCTGCACCACATTCTTTTGGTCATCTGTCCTCTGCCCCAAATAAGCCAGGGCTTGTATCCTGCATCTGCCAAAAGGTGCCTGTTTTTCTTTAGACTTCAGACTAACTCGTTTCCCTGCCATGTCAACTCTCTGATGGGTTCAAGAAAAGTTGCGATTTTGTAGATTTTCCACTTTTTCTTCTTGTTAGGTGGGAAGCAACTTTCTTTAAAACTTTCTACATTCTTAGTGGATATTCTGATTTATTCTTCTTAACAAAATTGTGTCCATACTCAAAGCTTCTCAAGCCATAAATGTTGGGAATCATGGCATGTATAGAAATGAGGCAAGGTATGTCCTTTGAGTTTCAGAAGACCATCAGTGGGTGTGATTTTACTTGGATATGGGTTACAGAGGCTGACAAGAGAAAATAAATGCTGAAAGAACATTTGGCATAAGTCCTTTGGAATTTATTGGCATTCTTTTTAAAGTAGTGTATGGCCAATTTTTGTAAATGTTGCATGAACACTTGGAAAGGGGTACTAATTTGTGATTTTATAGACTAAAGTCTGATTGATAGCGATTAAAGTCCCTATTAATTTTTTATTCCTATTATTTAAAATTTGTGTCCATTTTTATATTCTTGAATTGTCAAACATGTTTTTATCACTTTGTTCTCATAATTCTAATAGTTTTGATAAAAGCTAGCCCATATTAATGTAAAATAAGGAATTTAGTACAATTTTACTTCTTTCTGCTCACCATTACACAATCTTTATAACATAATATAAAGTTATAAAACTAGATATTATTTTTGTTGTATAACACTTTCCAGATTATTTTTACTTTAGCACTTTTTTAAAACAATTAAATTAATATTTCAACATAACTATGTATGTGAACTGATAGAATTGTACTTGCAATCCTTTCCTACTCCACCTTCATCTTTCTTGAGTTCCCACATTTGCTTCACAGTATCTGTCAGCTAGATTGTACCTTAGAATAACCTTTTCAGGAAGAATACATGGGTGGGATAGTTTTTGAGCTCTTACCTATGTAAAAATATATTTCACTGCCACGATTCATAAGCCCCTCTTTCAGCTATAGTAGTTTTATATTGCTGAAAGTTAGAAGTTGGAAACAAAATAATTACTGATGAGAGAAGCTTCAATGGAAGTAGTGTCTTTATGTGTCTCAAAAATCCGTTCTTGGCTGGGTGCAGTGGCTCACGCCTGTAATCCCAGCACTTTGGGAGGCCGAGGCGGGCGAATCACGAGGTCAGGAGATCGAGACCATCCCGGCTAAAACGGTGAAACCCCGTCTCTACTAAAAAATACAAAAAATTAGCTGGGCGTGGTGGCGGGCGCCTGTAGTCCCAGCTACTTGGGAGGCTGAGGCAGGAGAATGGCGTGAACCTGGGAGGGGGAGCTTGCAGTGAGCCGAGATCACCCCACTGCACTCCAGCCTGGGTGACAGAGTGAGACTCCATCTCAAAAAAAAAAAAAAAAAAAAAAAAAAAAAAATTCCGTTCTCTTATAGCAGGAGGAAGAATGATCAGGCTATCTGGTTGTAGCCTGGGCTCTATATCCCAAGTGTAGGTGTAATGTTGTTGTTTCGTTTCATGTGTCTGAATGATTTTTCTACCTTGTTCAGACACTCTCCCTCCCAGAATATTTCCTTCATGAAACTCACTTTAGTTTGAATGCTATCATTGAATGATTTCATTAGTTTCTGGTGTCGTTCAGACTGTGTTTTCTGCCTTTTCATGGCTATTTCAATAGGAGACTGAAAAGGAATAAATCAGGCATGAACAGCTGACCTCTTTAACAACCCTTAGTGTTATTCCTTCATTAAAGAAATATTTATGCAGTACATATTTAAAGGCTACATTACATTTCAAAAAGTTTACTTAACCATGCTCAAAAGTTTAATCATGTTTAGACATTCGCGTTATTTTAGATTATGTGTTAGTAAAATAGTTATTTATTAAGAAACAATGTATTAAGGTGCAGTCTTAAATGTAGAAGTCTTAGGACAAAGGTTGTGATAATTTTAATAAAACTTCATATATAATCCCGAATTCTTTTCCCAAAAGGTCATCACCTTTCAACTTCTACCAACAAATGGTTATGAGTGAAGGTTTAGCTTTTTGCTATGAGAGATTACTCTAACCAACATATGCCTGACTACCAGGAAGGAAGTAATATCAAAGAAATGGCTGAGCACAGAAGGCTCTTGCCCTATGGACAATGTGATAGAGTTGCACAGAGAGGTTGGAACTTAGTCCCTGGCTAGAAGGTGAGAAAGGAATTCAAAGAAAGTCAAGCCAGAGATGAAACTAGAATGAACAAGAGAAGCAAAGAAGAGGAAATGAATAGGTTAAATTGCTGGGAAATAAGAGCAGATGGGCTAAAGAAGGAATGGGAGATGGAGAGTCCAGACCAGATGCTGAAATCATAAGGACAGGGCATAGATAATACCAGGACAATTTTCTACCATGAACAAAAACATGTCAGCATAGCCAGAGAAGCAGAGGCCTGAGGCCATAACTTCCCAAAAGGGACTCTGGAGAAATCCATCCAGGACCTTCAGTGAATCCTCCCTACTCTTAAAGATCCCTTATTACCTCTCACTATGAAAGCCATGGGCACTTTGGTGTCTCCACTAATGCAACAATACAGTGCTGGGGTCATAGTGATTCTTAGTAAGTGCTTGCAGTACGCTCATTGAGCCCAATTCCTGTATTTGATAACTAGATTTTTCCCAATTCAGTGCAGAGGGGGGGCTCCCACTAAAATCCAAACCAGCTAAACCCACCACCTTTCACCTACTAGGCTGCAAGTGCCAAAGGAATGGAAGAAGATTCAAAACCAGACATGGACAAAGGTCCAGTAGCTCCAGGGTGGATGTCTAAGTCCTTGAAGAATATAAGGAACAGCTCCCGGGCTGTGTTGAAAGCTCCAATTTTATTTTAAAATGTGATTAGGAGCTGGGGAAGCTGATGCTTTTTGAAACACTCTTGACTCCAGCATCTGTAGCAGCTCTGAATTATTTGGCGGCTTAAATTGCAGCAGGCAAGTTGAACAGTGAGCATTTTTCAGTAGTAGTGGCTGAACTAACATTCCCCCCGCCCCCTGCCACATTTTTTAAAGCCCACAGAATGCTAACTGAATAGCTCATTATTTCCTTTGAAAAGGCTGGACTCTGCAGGTTGTCTCCACCTTTGCTGTTCCCTCTGTGGTGCTGGCTTTAAATAGTTCAGCCCTAAGTGCTCAGGTTGCTTTGGAAGTCAAAAATCTCTGACTTTGATCTCTCCATTCGTACCTGAAAAGCACCGAACGCTGATCCAGACTACTCCAGGGGTTTCTAGAGCAAGCTAATATCTCAGTAATAACAGTACCTTAAAATCGTATTCTACTATCCCATTTTCAAAGAATTTTGCATACAAAATCTTACTTTAAAATGTAAAATTAATACCTCACTCTGTGTGATGGTTAATTTTATGTGTCAACTTAATGGGGACATAGGATCCCCTGATAGTTGGTTGAACATTATTGCTGGGTGTGTCTGTGAGGGTGTCTGGGAAAAAAACTGGCACTTGACATTTGAATTGGTGGACTGAGTTAAGCAGATGCCCCCCCGATCCCCGCTTCAATGTTGGTGGGTATCATCCAATCTATTGACGGCCAGAATAGAACAAAAGGGAGGCAGAGGGAAGGTTGAACTTGGACTTTGCTTGACTACTTGAGCTGGGACTTTCATCTACTGCCCCCAGCATTCCTGGTCTCAGGTCCTCAGACTTGGCCTTGAATCTATCCCTCCAGCCTCTAGCTCTCAGGCCTTCAGCCCACACCACTGGATTTCCTGCATCTCCAGCTTGCAGATGACAGACTGTGGGACTTTATAGTCTTTATCATCTTGTGAGCCAATACAAATATACCTCTTTATATACATATACATTTATTTATAACATATTATAAATACCAATAGGAGATTGTATATGTTCAATAGGTATATAATCTCTGTTGGTTCTGCTTCTCTGGAGAACTCTGACTGAGGCACTCTTTGAGAAAGGCGGTCCCATTTAACAGAGGAAGCCACTAGACACAGAGAGGTAGGTGACACCTCTTTAAGACAATAAGCTAACTAGGGAAAAAAAAACAAAAACAAAATGAAATGGGTCCTAGGAAAGCATCACTGACCAAGTGTTTCCTCTATAATCTCACACATTTTTTTCACTGAGGATGGGAATAAATTTGATAAAAATAGGCAGGCACTGGAGGGGAGGCTTGCACAACAGGGCTGCATTTCTAAAACCTTCCCATCTCTTTCAGGGCAGGCATGTCCCAGGTCCCAAAAACCTTCCTGTAGGAAGCTTCTTCACCAAGCATTCTCTCCATGAAGGATTCTGTTGTGGAAAGCCAACCCCTCCATGGTCTGTTCAGGTGTGCCTGTGAATTATCCTCAGATGATTTTGACATTAGCCTGCTGGCAGAAACGTTTTGTGAGTCTATTTCTAGTGGCAAGATTAGAGTCCCTAAAGCTAGAAATTGCATATAGCATGTGCTACAAAATAAACTTCCACATTCAGGACCTTGCACAGTCTCACTTTAGCTTGGGAGCCTGGGTAAAAGCTGGCACCCACTTCACATAAACAGGGTTGGGACCATATGGGAGAGGTCACAGGGGAACGACAGAGATGAGAATTATTTAGAGAGCATGAAAACCAACCTCCTCATGTAACAGATGCATAAACTGAGGCCTTGAATTAGTAGTTGGTTCACGAGTAGAAACTGAACCTCCTGCTTGCTAGTTTAATGTTTCCCTTAACCCACGCAACAACCAAAATCATTCTGCTGATCCAGGTAGGAAGAGGCACTTATGAGATCTGATCTCTTGGATGCTGTCTACATAACTGGCCTCTGGAAGTTTGCTTAGCCTTTCTTGGAATGATTGTTTTCATGCCTACTGCCTCTATTCTGACTGGGGCCAACTTTTATGCTCAAGAATCATGCCACAGTACTAGTGCCAAGGGATGCCTGTTCCTGTCCAATGGTGATGGAAGTACTAAAACTGAAGTTATCATTATGAAAATGTAAAAAAGACAGCCTTATTGACCTGGTCTGTCAAATGGGAAGTTGGCTCTTTTAGGGAGCTTTGGAGGAGGGAGAAAACCAGTTCTATCTGTATTTTATGCTGTCTATCATCCTGATATCCAAGTTTGCATTACATTTCAAAGCATGATAAGTCCATTTCCTCATCCCTTGACAGAGGCCAGAATAACATTAACCAGATTGATTTTTATTCTCTCCTCTCTGTGTAACCATTAGACATGTGTTCTGCTGGAGTCAGCCCAGTGTGGACTTAATTAATGCCCACCAGTTATTGTCTATTGCTTACCTTCTTACTGATACTTAGTTCTTGAAAAACTGACCATGGGCAGGGAGAAGAATGCAGATGCATGCCAATGAGTCTTGATGGTGTGGAGCAAGTCACACTGAAGGCATGGAGTCACATCCCCATCTGGTCTTTATCCATACAGACACAGCTCATTTTTCCCTCCTACACTAGCAAGGGCATGTGTTCCAATGCCCATATCTGTGGTAAAAGAGTTGTGATTCATTGAACCATCTCATTTAACATCCCAAGCCTCAACTATCTTTGATTGACTCAGAGATTTGTCTGGGTCTAACTTCTTGCTTCTGTAAGGGAGATCCAGGTAAATGATATAAAGACAAAAATCAGAGGCATAATATGTGCAAATAAAAAGAAATTCAAAGTAAAGAAGCTCAGTTCAGCCCAGGCGACCTGAGTATTAAAAGGCAAACAATTTTATCAAATATATACATATATATGTTAAATATATTTGATAAATATATCTTTCACTTGGCTCATCAATTCATATGCAACTCTATTTTTCAAGGATTATCTTAATGCATCATTTCTATAAGGAAAATGAATTGACTCTTGTGGCAGGTTGTAATTATCAAAAATGGCACATAGCTGGGAGTGGTGGCACATACCTTTAGTCCCAGCTACTCAAGAGGCTGAGGCTGAAGGATTGCTTCAACCCAAGAGTTCAAGGCTGTAGTGAGCTATATCATGCTACTGTATAGCAGCCTGAGCAACAGAGCAAGACCCTGTCTCTTAAAAAAAAAAAAGGCATAGTGATATTTCCATACAATATAATCTCCCTGAACCTCACCACTCTCCATTAAGAGATAAAGGTTATTTCCCTTCCTTTTACCCTTGGCAGGCTTGTGACTGTGTCACATAGAAAATGTGGTGGAAGTGATGTCACGTGACTTCTGAAGCTATCTTAGAACAGATGAGTGAGCTTCTCCCTAGTGCACTCTCTATCTCTCTTGCTCATGTGCTTGCCCTTGGAACTAGGTCATCATGTTGCAAGAAAGCCCAAGCGACGTGGTGAGGTCCCTGTATCTGCTCTGGTTGAAAGTCCTATTTAAGGTTTCAGCTGAGAATCAACATCGACTCCAATTATGTGAGTGAACAAGCCTTTGGGTAACTTTGATTCTCACTCTGCAAGCTGTTAACAGATGCTATGGGGTGCAGGTGAGCTATTCATGCTGAGCCTCACTCAGCAGATTCCTGAGTACAATAAATGCTGTCATTGTTTTAAGCTACTAAAATTTAGAGTGACTTGTTGTACAGCCATGATAAGTAGAACAGGTTTTATTGTGTGAAGTAGAAAACTATCATAACAAAAACCTAAACATGTGGAAGTGGCTTTGGGACCAAGGAGAGGGCAGAAGTGCATGGCCCCTGAAGAGACTGTTAGCTGAGGCCTGATTGCCCTGAGGAAGTTGTCTGTGAGGTCTTAAAAAAGTGAGGAAAATGTTATTGGGAGCTTGAGGAAAGGGGACGTTTAATATAAAGTGACAGAAAGTTTAGCAACACTGTCACCTATAGTGACATAGGAAATAGAAAGTTTACCTAATGAACTGGATCTAGCTGAGGAGATTTCCAGGTAGTGTGTTCAAGATGTCGTCTAGCTTCTAGCTGTTCACAGTAAAATGCAAGAGGAAAGCTATAACTGAAGAAGGGATTGTTAAATATAAAGGAACGAGGATGTACTGGGTTCAAAAATTACAACTCCATTTTATTGCCAGCCTCTCCATATAGCAAATAATGCTAAAATTAAGAAATGGTGGCCAGGTGTGGTGGCTCACACCTGTAATCCCAGCACTTGGAAGGCCGAGGCGGGTGGATCACCTGACGTCAGGAGTTCGAGACCAGCCTGGCCAACATGGCGAAACCCCATCTCTACAAAAAATACAAAAAAAAAATTAGCCAGGAGTGGTGGTATGCACCTGTAATCCCAGGTATTCAGGAGGCTGAGGCAGGAGAATCACTTGAACCTGGGAGGCGGAGGTTGCGGTGAGCCGAGATCACACCACTGCACTCCAGCCTGGGTGACAGAGCGAGACTCTGTCTCACAAAAAAAAAGGGAAATGGCTTCCAGGCAAAGGTCAAATTGAGAACTGTTATCAGGAAGGTCAAATATAGAGCTTTATCTACAGAGGAAGACAAGACTGTGACCAGAAAACCCTATGTTGAGACATCAGAAACATTTAAGATGATAGCTCAAGCTAAAAAAAAAAAAAAAAAATCTTGCTCCAATTATCTTAAGGTTAATTCTCATGGAAAAATCCTTTTTTTTTTTTTTTTTAAAAGAAGAGCTTCTAAGAATCTTAAGGGTGTTGTCTCACAATAGCTCTACGGGAAGCCCAAGATGGACGAGGCCTTACTTCAAAGGAATTTCAATGGCTATGGCTTTTGTCTGATGGAGTAGACCTTAATAAAATTTAACTAGAAGAAAAAGAGATGATATAAAATGTAAAGAGCTCCACAAATTAGGAATAGAAGGGAAACTCCAACTTGCAAAGGGCATCTACAGAATTTCACAGCTTTGTCATACTTAAGGGTGAAAGACTGGATGCTTTCCTCCCTAAAATCAGGAATCAGTCAAGTAGTCCATTCTCATTTCTACTCAACAGTATACTGACATCTCTAGCCAAGGAAAGTAGGAAAGAAAAAGAAAGACATCGATATTGAAAATGAATAAATAAAGCAATCTCTATTTTCAGATGCGCCACACATAGAAGATACTAATGAATACACAAACATACTCACCCTCTTAGAACTAATAAATAAATTCAAAATATAAGATCAATGTATAAAAATTCATTGTATTTCTATATACTAGCAACAAATAATCTGAAAATGAGATTAAGTATAAAATTCCATTAAAATTGCGTCTAGGGGAACAACATACTTAGGAATAAATGTAACAGAAAAAGTTCAAAAGTTATACTCTTAAAACTACAAAACATCATTGATTAATTCAGAAGATCTAAATAAATAGAAATACATCATATGTTCATAGATTCGAAGTCTTAATATTGTAAAGATGGTGATATGCTCTAACTGATCTATAGATTCAATACAATTCCTATCAAAATCATAGCTGTCTTATAGTACTTGACAATATATTTCTGAAATGTATATGGAAATCAATGGACCAATAATAGTCAAAATAATCTTGAAAAATAAGAATAAATTTGGAAGATTAACACTTCCCAATTTTATACTTACCACAAAGATACAGTAATCAAGACAATGTTGTACTGGCATAAGGCTAGACATATAGATCAATGGAATAGCAGTGATAGTCCAGAAACAAGGCCTTTACATTTATGATCAATTGATTTGTGACAATTCAATGGGAAAATAATAGTCTTTTTAAGAAGTGGTGTTGGAACAACTGGATATTCATATGCAAAAATACACCACACACAAAATTATCACATAATGGATTGTGGACTTAAATTTAGGGATTGAAAGTAGAAAACTCTTGGAAGAAAACATAGAAGTAAATCTTTGTGATCTTGGTTTAGGTAATGGTTTCTTAGATATGACACCAAAAGCAAAAGTAACAAACTAAAAAATTGATAAATTGGATTTTATCAAAATTGAATACTTTTATACTATAAACCATGTCATCAAGAAAGGGGAAAGAAACCCCAAAGAATTAGAGAAAGTATTTGCAAGTCATATATCTGTTAAGGGAATGTATCCAGAATATATAAATAACTTTTAGTACTCAACAATAAAAAGATAACCCAATTTAAAAATGGGCAAAGGATTTGAATAGACATTTCTCAAAAAAGATTCACAAATGGCCAATAAGGACATAAAAATATGCTCAGCATCATTTGCCATTAGGAAATGCAAATCCAAACCACAATGAGATGCCATATCACACCCATCAGGATAGCTGTAATCAAAAAGACAGATAATAAGTGTAGGAAAGAATGTGCAGAAATTGCAACCTTCATACATTGCTGATGGCATGTAAAATGGTGCAGCTGCTTTGAAGAACAGTTTGGCAGCCCCTCAAAATGTTAAACATAAAGTTACCATACGACCCAGCAATTCTACTCCTTGGCATATACTCCTCCAAAACGGAAACATAGTTCCACCAGAAAAAAATGTCTACAAAAATGTTCATAGCAGCATTATTCATAATAGCCAAGAGGTGGAAACAACCCAAAAGTCTATCAACTGACAAACAGATAAGTGAAATGTGGCATCCTGGTCCAACAGAATTTTATTTAGTAATAGAAAAGAAGGAACGGTAGTTCATTCAGTAGATATCTGCTACAACATATATAAACTATGAAAACAATACACTGAGTGAAAGAAGCCAGACACAAAAGATCACATATTTTATAATTTTATTTATACTAAATGTCCAGAAAAACCAAGTCCCAAGAGTGAATGTATAAAGTCCCAAGATCAATGTATAAAAATTCATTGTATTTCTATATACTAGCAACAAATAATCTGAAAATGAGATTAAGTATAAAATTCCATTAAAATTGTGTCTAGGGGAATAATATACCTAGGAATAAATGTAACAGAAAAAGTTCAAAAGTTATACTCTTAAAACTACAAAACATCATTGATTAATTCAGAAGATCTAAATAAACAGAAATACATCATATGTTCATGGATTTGAAGTCTTAATATTGTAAAGATGGTGATATACTCTAACTGATCTATAGATTCAATACAATTCCTATCAAAATCATAGCTGTCTTATAGTACTTGACAATATATTTCTGAAATGTATATGGAAATGTATATGTAGTTAGTAGTTGCCTACAGCTGGGAGGTTTTTAGGGCAGAGAAATGAGCAATGAATACAATTGGGTATGAGGCTTCTTTTTGGGGTGATTAAAATGTTTTAAAATCAGATTGTACAAAGATTGCAAAGCTCTTTGAAATTATTTAAAACATCATTTCATTGTACACTTTAGTGGGTAAATTGTATGGTATGCAAATTATATCTCAGTAAAACTTTATTTTAAATTTTAAAAAGTGTCAAGATTGTAAAAGGCTGAAAAACTGTCACAGATTGAAGGAGACTAAAGAGATGACTAAACGCAATGAGGTATCCTAAATTAGATCCAGAAATTTTAGGGCATTCATGGAAAATTAAAGGAAAAACTTGTAAAATATGAACAAAGTTTGTAGTTTTACGTTAAAAAAAAAAAAAGAAAAAGAGGCCTTTGGACTCTAGAATGACTACAGGCAAGAACCAGCCAAACAGAGGGCACAAGGAGGAGCCCAGAGAAAAGAGCCCAGAGAACGGAGCCAAGGGGAATAGTGAATCATTCACTCCCAGGAAGTAGAACAGAGCCCTAATCAAGGATTGGCAAGTATTTCACATTTGCTATGAACCAGTAGTTACTGGATGCTTCCAGTTTTCCCACTTTACTAACGAGACATCCATTACGATTATCTCATGCTTGTCACACAGTTTAGGTTATTAGCTGTGTAGGGTACAGATAACTCGTCTCTTTATTTCCCAGTTCTTCGTACTTGGAATTCTTGAGGATCAGACTCAAGGAGCCTTCCCTATCCCTGTATCTGACTTAGATAATAAGATTCTGAATCTTCTCTACATTTAAAATATAATGCTGAAATGGGATGTCTTTTTAAAAAAGTATATCTATACATCTTTTGGGGCTAGTATGAGTTTTGGAAGATTCTAGGAAGAGCCTTGAGTATTTTCTATGTAAGAGGGAGGGGTATGATGCCAGATAACAGTCTATGGCAGAATGTATTTTTCAGAATAGTTGCAACAATATTTCCGGTCTCATATATTCTTCTAGCATTTTGGCATTCCCCATGAAGAGCTGAAGACTATTTCACCATCTCTTAAACCTGGGCAGGCTTGTGGCTGCTCTGACAAATAGAATGAACTAGGAGGGAAGCAGTGTGACTTCCCCGGCTAGGTTAGAAAAGATGATACAGCTTCTGTCTGGCTTCCTTCTCTTGGATATTCACTCTTAGAACCTGGGCTCAGGTTTGTAAGAAAGCCCAGGCCACATTAAGAGGTCACATGTAAGCCCCAGTATCCACCATCAGATATTTGAGTGAGTGAGAGATGATTCTAATGTCCAGCCTTGGAACTGATGTAGCTAATATAAGCGGAGCAGAGATGAGCTATCCCTGCTAAGCCCTGCACAAAATAAATGATATTTCATTTGATAATGACAATAAATATTTTGCTCTTGAGCAAAATAAATGATGTCATTGCTTTAAGCCATTAAATTTGGGGGTTCTTTGTTATACTGAGATATTCTGGCATGTTACAGTGTTGGCCTGAAGACAATTCCAGTGGCAAGTCTTTTCTTTTTACCTAGCATGTGCCACTTACCACTTTTTAAAAAACTGAAATGCAACTGACATACAAAAATGCACAGATTTCAAATTTCTAATAAATATGATGACTTTTGACAATTTTTTATTATTATTATACTTTAAGTTTTAGGGTACATGTGCACAACGTGCAGGTTAGTTACATATGTATACATGTGCCATGGGGGTGTGCTGCACCCATTAACTCGTCATCTAGCATTAGGTATATCTCCTAAAACTATCCCTCCCCCCTCCCCCCACCCCACAACAGTCCCCAGAGTGTGATGTTCCCCCTCCTGTGTCCATGTGTTCTCATTGTTCAATTCCCACCTATGAGTGAGAATATACGGTGTTTGGTTTTTTGTTCTTGCAATAGTTTACTGAGAATGATGATTTCCAATTTCATCCATGTCCCTACAAAGGACATGAACTCATCATTTTTTTGGCTGCATAGTATTCCATGGTGTATATGTGCCACATTTTCTTAATCCAGTCTATCATTGTTGGACATTTGGGTTGGTTCCAAGTCTTTGCTATTGTGAATAGTGCCGCAATAAACATACGTGTGCATGTGTCTTTATAGCAGCATGATTTATAGTCCTTTGGGTATATACCCAGTACTGGGATGGCTGGGTCAAATGGTATTTCTAGTTCTAGATCCCTGAGGAATTGCCATACTGACTTCCACAATGGTTGAACTAGTTTACAGTCCCACCAACAGTGTAAAAGTGTTCCTATTTCTCCACATCCTCTCCAGCACCTGTTGTTTCCTGACTTTTTAACGATTGCCATTCTAACTGGTATGAGATGGTATCTCATTGTGGTTTTGATTTGCATTTCTCTGATAGCCAGTGATGGTGAGCATTTTCTCATGTGTTTTTTGGCTGCATAAATGTCTTCTTTTGAGAAGTGTCTATTCATGTCCTTTGCCCACTTTTTCATGGGGTTGTTTTTTTCTTGTAAATTTGTTTGAGTTCATTGTAGATTCTGGATATTAGCCCTTTGTCAGATGAATAGGTTGCAAAAAAAGTTCTCCCATTTTGTAGGTTGCCTGTTCACTCTGATGGTAGTTTCTTTTGCTGTGCAGAAGCTCTTTAGTTTAATTAGATCCCATTTGTCAATTTTGGCTTTTGTTGCCATTGCTTTTGGTATTTTAGACATGAAGTCCTTGCCCATGCCTGTGTCCTGAATGGTAATGCCTAGGTTTTCTTCTAGAGTTTTTATGGTTTTAGGTCTAACGTTTAAGTCTTTAATCCATCTTGAATTAATTTTTGTATAAGGTGTAAGGAAGGGATCCAGTTTCAGCTTTCTACCTATGGCTAGCCAGTTTTCCCAGCACCATTTATTAAATAGGGAATCCTTTCCCCATTGCTTATTTTTTTCAGGTTTGTCAAAGATCAGATAGTTGTAGATATGCGGCGTTATTTCTGAGGGCTCTGTTCTGTTCCATTGATCTATATCTCTGTTTTGGTACCAATACCATGTTGTTTTGGTACCAATACCATGCTGTTTTGGTCACTGTAGCCTTGTAGTATAGTTTGAAGTCAGGTAGTGTGATGCCTCCAGCTTTGTTCTTTTGGCTTAGGATTGACTTGGCGATGCGGGCTCTTTTTTGGTGCCATATGAACTTTAAAGTAGTTTTTTCCAATTCTGTGAAGAAAGTCATTGGTAGCTCGATGGGGATGGCATTGAATCTATAAATTACCTTGGGCAGTATGGTCATTTTCCAATTCTGTGAAGAAAGTCATTGGTAGCTTGATGGGGATGGCATTGAATCTATAAATTACCTTGGGCAGTACGGCCATTTTCCAATTCTGTGAAGAAAGTCATTGGTAGCTTGATGGGGATGGCATTGAATCTATAAATTACCTTGGGCAGTATGGCCATTTTCACGATATTGATTCTTCCTACCCATGAGCATGGAATGTTCTTCCATTTGTTTGTATCCTCTTTTATTTCCTTGAGCAGTGGTTTGTAGTTCTCCTTGAAGAGGTCCTTCACATCCCTTGTAAGTTGGATTCCTAGGTATTTTATTCTCTTTGAAGCAATTGTGAATGGGAGTTCACTCATGATTTGGCTCTCTGTTTGTCTGTTATTGGTGTATAAGAATGCTTGTGATTTTTGTACATTGATTTTGTATCCTGAGACTTTGCTGAAGTTGCTTATCAGCTTAAGGAGACTTTGGGCTGAGACAATGGGGTTTTCTAGATATACAATCATGTCATCTGCAAACAGGGACAATTTAACTTCCTCTTTTCCTAATTGAATACCCTTTATTTCCTTCTCCTGCCTAATTGCCCTGGCCAGAACTTCCAACACTATGTTGAATAGGAGTGGTGAGAGAGGGCATCCCTGTCTTGTGCCAGTTTTCAAAGGGAATGCTTCCAGCTTTTGACCATTCAGTATGATATTGGCTGTGGGTTTGTCATAGATAGCTCTTATTATTTTGAGATACATCCCATCGATACCTAATTTATTGAGAGTTTTTAGCATGAAGCATTGTTGAATTTTGTCAAAGGTCTTTTCTGCATCTATTGAGATAATCAAGTGGTTTTGTCTTTGGTTCTGTTTATATGCTGGATTACATTTATTGATTTGCATATACTGAACCAGCCTTGCATGCCAGGGATGAAGCCCACTTGATCATGGTGGATAAGCTTTTTGATGTGCTGCTGGATTTGGTTTGCCAGTATTTTATTGAGGATTTTTGCATCAATGTTCATCAAGGATATTGATCTAAAATTCTCTTTTTTGGTTGTATCTCTGCCCGGCTTTGGTATCAGGATGATGCTGGCCTCATAAAATGAGTTAGGGAGGATTCCCTCTTTTTCTATTGATTGGAATAGTTTCAGAAGGAATGGTACCAGTTCCTCCTTGTACCTCTGGTAGAACTCGGCTGTGAATCCATCTGGTCCTGGACTCTTTTTGGTTGGTAAGCTATTTATTACTACCATAATTTCAGAGCCTGTTATTGGGCTATTCAGAGATTCAACTTCTTCCTGGTTTAGTCTTGGGAGGGTGTATGTGTCGAGGAATTTATCCATTTCTTCTAGATTTTCTAGTTTGTTTGCGTAGAGGTGTTTGTAGTATTCTCTGATGGTAGTTTGTATTTCTGTGGGATCGGTGGTGATATCCCCTTTATCATTTTTTATTGCGTCTATTTGATTCTTTTCTCTTTTCTTCTTTATTAGTCTTTCTAGCGGTCTATCAATTTTGTTGATCCTTTCAAAAAACCAGCTCCTGGATTCATTAATTTTTTGAAGGGTTTTTTGTGTCTCTATTTCCTTCAGTTCTGCTCTGATTTTAGTTATTTCTTGCCTTCTGCTAGCTTTTGAATGTGTTTGCTCTTGCTTTTCTAGTTCTTTTAATTGTGATGTTAGGTTGTCAATTTTGGATCTTTCCTGCTTTCTCTTGTGGGCATTTAGTGCTATAAATTTCCCTTTACACACTGCTTTGAATGTGTCCCAGAGATTCTGGTATGTTGTGTCTTTGTTCTCATTGGTTTCAAAGAACATCTTTATTTCTGCCTTCATTTCGTTATGTACCCAGTACTCATTCAGGAGCAGGCTGTTCAGTTTCCATGTAGTTGAGAGGTTTTGAGTGAGTTTCTTAATCCTGAGTTCTAGTTTGATTGCACTGTGGTCTGAGAGATAGTTTGTTATAATGTCTGATCTTTTACATTTGCTGAGGAGAGCTTTACTTCCAACTATGTGGTCAATTTTGGAATAGGTGTGGTGTGGTGCTGAAAAAAATGAATATTCTGTTGATTTGGGGTGGAGAGTTCTGTAGATGTCTATTAGGTCTGCTTGGTGCAGAGCTGAGTTCAATTCCTGGGTATCCTTGTTAACTTTCTGTCTCATTGATCTGTCTAATATTGACAGTGGGGTGTTACAGTCTCCCATTATTATTGTGTGGGAGTCTAAGTCTCTTTGTAGGTCACTCAGGACTTGCTTTATGAATCTGGGTGCTCCTGTATTGGGTGCATATATATTTAGGATAGTTAGCTCTTCTTGTTGAACTGATCCCTTTACCGTTATGTAATGGCCTTCTTTGTCTCTTTTGATCTTTGTTGGTTTAAAGTGTGTTTTAGCAGAGACTAGGATTGCAACCCCTGCCTTTTTTTGTTTTCCATTTGCTTGGTAGATCTTCCTCCATCCTTTTATTTTGAGCCTATGTGTGTCTCTGCATGTGAGATGGGTTTCCTGAATACAGCACACTGATGGGTCTTGACTCTTTATCCACTTTGCCAGTCTGTGTCTTTTAATTGGAGCATTTAGTTCATTTACATTTAAAGTTAATATTGTTACGTGTGAATTTGATCCTGTCATTATGATGTTAGCTGGTTATTTTGCTCGTTAGTTGATGTAGTTTCTTCCTAGCCTTGATGGTCTTTACAATTTGGCATGTTTTTGCAGTGGCTGGTACCAGTTGTTCCTTTCCATGTTTAGTGCTTCCTTCAGGAGCTCTTTTAGGGCAGGCCTGGTGGTGACAAAATCTCTCAGCATTTGCTTGTCTGTAAAGGATTTTATTTCTCCTTCACTTATGAAGCTTAGTTTGGCTGGATATGAAATTCTGGGTTGAAAATTCTTTTCTTTAAGAATGTTGAATATTGGCCCCCACTCTCTTCTGGCTTGTAGAGTTTCTGCTGAGAGATCAGCTGTTAGTCTGATGGCCTTCCCTTTGTGGGTAACCCGACCCTTCTCTCTGGCTGCCCTTTTTTCCTTCATTTCAACTTTGGTGAATCTGACAATTGTGTCTTGGAGTTGCTCTTCTCAAGGAGTATCTTTGTGGCGTTCTCTGTATTTCCTGAATCTGAATGTTGGCCTACCTTGCTAGATTGGGGAAGTTCTCCTGGATAATATCCTGCAGAGTGTTTTCCAACTTGGTTCCATTCTCCCCATCACTTTCAGGTACACCAATCAGACGTAGATTTGGTCTTTTCATGTAGTCCCATATTTCTTGGAGGCTTTGTT
The DNA here is from genome assembly GCF_000001405.40 of Homo sapiens. Lineage (NCBI taxonomy): Eukaryota > Metazoa > Chordata > Mammalia > Primates > Hominidae > Homo > Homo sapiens. Next base: position 208,704,158 of record NC_000001.11, on the reverse strand, counting down.
CGTTTCTTTTTATTTTTTTTTCTCTAAACTTCCCTTCTCGCTTCATTTCATTCATTTCATCTTCCATCACTGATACCCTTTCTTCCAGTTGATCGCATCAGTTCCTGAGGCTTCTGCATTCTTCACGTAATTCTCGAGCCTTGGCTTTCAGCTCCATCAGCTCCTTTAAGCACTTCTCTGTATTGGTTATTCTAGTTATACATTCGTCTAAATTTTTTTCAAAGTTTTCAACTTCTTTGCCTTTGGTTTGAATTTCCTCCTGTAGCTCAGAGTAGTTTGATCGTCTGAAGCCTTCTTCTCTCAACTTGTCAAAGTCATTCTCCATCCAGCTTTGTTCCATTGCTGGTGAGGAGCTGCGTTCCTTTGGAGGAGGAGAGGTGCTCTGCTTTTCAGAGTTTCCAGTTTTTCTGCTCTGTTTTTTCCCCATCTTTGTGGTTTTATCTACTTTTGGTCTTTGATGATGGTGATGTACAGATGGGTTTTTGGTGTGGATGTCCTTTCTGTTTGTTAGTTTTCCTTCTAACAGACAGGACTCTCAGCTGCAGGTCTGTTGGAGTTTGCTAGAGGTCCACTCCAGACCCTGTTTGCCTGGGTACGATCAGTGGTGGCTGCAGAACAGTGGATTTTCGTGAACCGTGAATGCTGCTGTCTGATTGTTCCTCTGGAAGTTTTGTCTCAGAGGAGTACCTGGCCGTGTGAGGTGTCAGTCTGCCCCTACTGCAGGGTGCCTCCCAGTTAGGCTGCTTGGGGGTCAGGGGTCAGGGACCCACTTGAGGAGGCAGTCTGCCCATTCTCAGATCTCCAGCTGTGTGCTGGGAGAACCACTGCTCTCTTCAAAGCTGTCAGACCAGGGACATTTAAGTCTGCAGAGGTTACTGCTGTCTTTTTGTTTGTCTGTGCCCTGCCCCCAGAGGTGGAGCCTACAGAGGCGGGCAGGCCTCCTTGAGCTGTGGTGGGCTCCACCCAGTTTGAGCTTCCTGCCTGCTTTGTTTACCTAAGCAAGCCTGGGCAATGGTGGGCGCCCCTCCCCCAGCCTCGCTGCCACCTTGCAGTTTGATCTCAGACTGCTGTGCTAGCAATCAGCAAGACTCTGTGGGCATAGGACCCTCTGAGCCAGGTGCGGGATATAATCTCCTGATGTGCCATTTTTTAAGCCCGTTGGAAAAGTGCCGTATTAGGGTGGGAGTGACCCGATATACCAGGTGGCGTCTGTCACCCCTTTCTTTGACTAGGAAAGGGAACTCCCTGACCCCTTGCACTTCCCAAGTGAGGCAATGCCTCGCCCTGCTTCGGCTCACGCACGGTGTGCTGCACCCACTGTCCTGCGCCCACTGTCTGGCACTCCCTAGGGAGATGAACCTGGTACCTTAGATGGAAATGCAGAAATCACCTGTCTTCTGCATCGCTCACGCTGGGAGCTGTAGACCGGAGCTGTTCCTGTTCGGCCATCTTGGCTCCACACCCAGGTTGACTTTTGACAATTTTATATACCCATATAACCACATCCCAGAAGAAGAATTAGAATGTTTCTATTACCAACGAATGTTTCTTCATCTCCTCCCAGTGGCATGCTGGAGCCAGCTCTCTGGGGCTGTGGGAGTCAACTGCTCACATGCATTCCTAACTCCTAGTTCAGTCATATCACATTGGCAGCTAGATATCTTGAGATTGGAAGTATTCACAGCATAAAAATCAACAAATGCTACAAATCAAAACTTTCACCCACCCACCGCCCCAGCTAGTTCTAAACATTTAACATATAATACTGATCCTTCCCCTTTTCTATCAATTCCTCCACCCTCCAGAGGTAAATCTTTTTTATTGCTCTCATTGTAGTGAGTTTTGCCTATTCTTGGATTTCTTATAATGGGATTATCCAGTCTGTATCCTTCTGGATCTGCTTTCTTTCACTTAAAATAATATTTGGAAATTGATCCATGTTGTTGTGTATGTCAGTATTTCACTCCTTTTTAATTGATGAATAGCACTCATTGTCTAAACATATGACAATGCCATTGTCTTTTTTCTTGTTGATGGACATTTGAGCTGCTTCCAATATTGAATTATTATGAATAACGCCTTTATGATAGTATTGTGTTTGTCTTTCAGTAGACATATGTTTTCAATTCTTTTGAGTAATACAGGAGTGGGTTGCTGGGTCATAGAATAGATCTATGCTTAACATTATCAGAAAAAAAGAAAGAGTTAACCAAAGTGCTTTTAACATTTTACTCTGCCATAAGCAATGTATAAAAGTTTTCATTATTCCACGTTTGCCAAGATTTAGTATTACTGACATTTTTTAAATTTTATTTTAGACACGTTGTGCGCACATAATGGTGTTTCATTTTGGTTTCAATTTGTGTGTTCCTGATAACTAATGATGCTAAGCCTCTTTCCAGGTGATCAATCTTGTGATCAACACTGGTAAAGGGTTTCTTTTTAGTACTTTGTCTACCTTTCTATTGGGTTGTTTTTTTTCTTGTTATTCATGTGTAACAGATTGAGAACATCCATATGTCCTTTATGCAAGTCCTTTGTCCTAGCTGTCTATCTATCTATCTATCTATCTATCCATTTATCTATTTATCTATCTATCTATCTATCTATCTATCTATCTATCTATCTATCTATCTACCTACCTATCTATCAATATTTTTTCCAGTCTGTGGCTTGCTTATTTTTTTCTGGTTAGTGGTTAAAAAACAAAATTATTTAACTATCTCTAGGTTACAAAGATATTCTGTTTTGTTTTCTTTTACAAGTTTGGAGTTCTAGCTAATGCTGGAATTTATAATCCATCTTAAAATTAGTATTAGTCACTGGAGTCAGATATGGAGTGACAATTTTTTTTTTTTTTTTTTTTTGCCTGTTTTTGAGATGGAGTCTTGCTCTGTTGCCCAGGCTAGAGTGCAGTGGCATGATCTTGGCTCACTGTAACCTCCGCATCCGGGTTCAAGCAATTCTCATGCCTCAGCCTCCTGAGTAGCTGAGATTACAGGCATGTGCCACCACGCCTGGCTACTTTTTGTATTTTTAGTACAGATTGGGTTTCGCCATGTTGACCAGGCTGGTCTCGAACTCTTGACTTCAAGTGATCTGGCTGCCTTGGCCTCCTGAAGTGTTGGGATTACAGGCATAAGCCACCATGCCCAGCCTGTTTTGTTTTTTATTGCTGATTTTTGCAAGGGGTTTACCAATATTTTAATTTTTCAAAAGGATAAACTTTTGAATATTTGGATTTTTCTCTATTTGACTTTTATAGAGTTTCATATAAAGGGAATTTTATGTACTCTTGTCTGTATCTTAATAATAAGTCAGAGCACAATTAATATAATAATTAATAATAAGATACAGTATAATTATTATGAGATGCATCCATGTCGTCATTAGTATTCATTGTTGGTTCCTTTTTATTGCTTAGCAGTATTCCATTGTATGAATATACTACAGTGGAAGGACATTTGGGTTGTTTCTAGTTTTGGGCTATTATGAATATAGCCACTGTGAATATTTGAGTAGAAATTTTGGTGTGGATATGTGTTTATATTTTTCTTGAGTATATATCTAAGAATAAGATTGCTGAGTTGTATGGTATTTATATTTGTGATCATTTTAGAAATTCACGGTTTATTTTTTTAAGTGATTTTACCACTTTACAATCCCACCAATAATGCATGTGAATTCTTGTTGCTCCACAACCTCATCAACAATTAGATCTGCCAGTCTTTTAAAATTGTAGCCATTCTAATGCGCATACAATAGTATACCATTGTGAGGGGTTTTTATGGTGTGTGTGTGTGTGTGTGTGTGTGTGTGTGTGTGTGTGTGTGTGAGACAGGGTCTTACTCCATCACCCAGGCTGGAGTGCAGTGGCATGATCTTGGCTCACTGCAACCTCCACCTTAGGTTCAAGCAATTCTTGTGCCTCAGCCTCCTGAGTAGCAGAGACCACACATATACACCACCACACCTGGCTAACTTTTGCATTTTTAGTAGAGATGGGGTTTCCCCCTGTTGGCCAGAATGGTCTCGAACTGCTGACCTCAAGTGATCTGCCCACCTTGGCCTCCCAAAGTGCTGGGATTATAGGTGTCAGCCACTGCACCCAGCCCACGGTTGTGGTTTTAACTTATATTTTTCAGGTGATGAATGATGCTGAGCATATTTTCATTTGTTTATTGACCATTTATTAATGGTGTCTTTGGAAGAGCAGTTAATTATTTTAATGAATTACAATTTATCCAACTTTTATGTTTTATACTTTTTGAGTAACATGTCACAAAACTCTTTCTCTAATTAGTTTTCTTCTGGAATTTCTAAAATTTTACTTTTACTTCTAGGTCTATCCTTTATTTTGAATTAGTTTTTGTTTACAAGGAGAGGCTAAGGTTGAAATTCTTGTGTTTTCTTAGGAAGGACCAGTTGTTCCAGAATTATTTGTAGATAAAGTTCTTATTTCTCAATTAAATTACCACATCCTTTCTTTAAAAATCATTTTCAGTTTCATGTTCCCTAATGATTAATGACGTTGAGCATTTTTTTGCCATTTTTACCTCATTTGCCATTTGAATTATCTTTTTTTGAAAAGTGTCTATTCAAATCTTTCCCCATTTTTAAAATTTAAAATATTTTTGTCTTCTAATTTTTGAGTTGTAACAGTTCTTAATGCCTTCTCGATATAAGTTATTTCTCAGATACATATTTTGGAACTATTTTCTCCCAGACTGTGGCTACTAACAGTGCCTTCAAAAGCAATGTTTAACATTTTTATGAATTCCAATTTATTGAAATTTTCTTTTTGTGTTTTTTGATTCTTAAGAAATATTTGCTAAACATAAGATCATTAAGACTTTATCCTGATTACTTCTAGAATATTTACATTTTTAGCTCCCACATTTGTTTTCTCATCTATTCTGTGTTTCTTGTTGAGGTAGATAAAGATTGAAGTTCATTTGTAGATGGCTCTCCAATTGTTCCAGCAACGTATCTTGAAGAGATTGCTTTTCCTCTACTGAATTGCCGTGGCAGTTTTGTTGAACATCGATTGACCACATATATGCGTGTCCATTACTTGATTTTCTATCCTGTTTCATTGCTGAATATATCTTGTTTTTCCAAACCATGCAGAATCAATTATTCTAGCTTTACAATAAGTATTAAAATTTTAAATTGGGTTTTCCTTGTTATTTTTAAAGCTGTTTTAGTTCTTTTAGAAAGTTGATTTGCCAATGTAGTCCCACTACATTTTCATATAACTTACAGAAACTATTTTTTTAATTTGTAAGGGAAAAAAAGCCTGCTGTTCATTTTGATTGGGATTGTATTGAACCTATAAATTAATTTGGGAGAGAATTTGTTATAGGACCAACAGGTTCATATACCTATCACACAGTAACAGACCAATTACCCTGAGACAGTAAGGTTTGCAGCAAAGAAAGAGTCTAATGATCACAGGGCAATGAGTGAGGTCATGGGAAAAGACCGTTAAATCAGCTCCCTGAGGATTTCTGGGCTGGAGTTTTTAAAAGGATCATGGAGGGCAAGGGACTAGAAAATTTGGGTCATTGATTGGTTGGGGTAAAGGAGATGAAATACTCTGGATGTGGAAACTGTATTATTTTGTGAGTCAGCTCCTGTGGGGTCCTTCAGACCAGCTGACATCATTAGTTTCATTGGTATGCATGACCTGAAAGAATGTCTCAGATGGAAAATGTAATGTTTTATAATGTTCAAGATATTATCTATAGAGTAGATAAGGGGAAAGATAATCTTGTAATAGGATCTCGATGATTTTGAGGCAACAGTCACCAAACAACTCTGAGGAAGCAGGTCAGAGAGCACCTGACTTAGTGATTAATGCTAAATGTGCTGAAACTTGTAATAAATCTTACATATTTCCTGTCATATTTACCCTAAGTATTTTTTATATGGACTTGATATTCTACAACATGGTATATCAATTTATTTCAATCTAAAGTCATTTATTAGTTCTAATAGCATTTTTGTTGATTCCATAGGATTTTCTACATAGGTAAATGTTGGCTGAGGATAGTGTTAGTCTCTTCATTTTTAATTTTGATATATTTTATTTTTTTTTTCATCTTATTGCACTGATTAGAACTTTAGTACAATATTGAAAAATACTGATGACTATGGATATCTTTGTCTTTTTCCTGATATTAAAAGGAAGAATTAAGTCTTTCATAATTATGTGATGTTAGCTATGGAGTTCTTTCAGGGATGTCTTCTACCAGGTTAGGCAAGTTTTTTTATTTTCCAAATTTTCCAAGAGCTCTTTTGTTTTTTGTTTTCAGACGTAAATGATGGATTATGTGAAATGGTGGTATGGTTTGAATGCTCCCTCTAAAATGCATGTTGAAATTTAATCCCCAATGCAGTAGTATTGAGAGTTATGGTCTTTAAGAGGTGATTCAGCTCTCCGGTGCGTGCCTCCAAGATGACAAAGAAAAGAAGGAACAATGGTCGTGCCAAAAAGGGCCACAGCCACGTGCAGCCTATTTGCTGCACTAACTGTGCCTGATGCATGCCCAAGGACAAGGCCATTAAGAAATTCGTCATTTGAAACATAGTGGAGGCCGCAGCAGTCAGGGACATTTCTGAAGCGAGCGTCTTCGATGCCTATGTGCTTCCCAAGCTGTTTGTGAAGCTACATTACTGTGTGAGTTGTGCAATTCACAGCAAAGTAGTCAGGAATCGATCTCATGAAGCCCACAAGGACTGAACACCCCCACCCCGATTTAGACCTGTGAGTGCTGCCCACGTCCCCCACCAAAGCCCATGTAAGGAGCTGAGTTCTTAAAGACTGAAGACAGACTATTCTCTGGAGAAAAATAAAACGGAAATTGTACTAAAAAAAAAAAAAAAGAGGTGGTTCAATTATGAGAGCTCTGTCCTCATGAATGGATTAATTTATTTGTGGATTAATGGATTAAAGGATTTATGGATTAGTGGGTTACCATGAGAGTGAAACTAGTGAATTTATAAGAAGAGAAAGAGAAATCTGAGCATAATACATTAGAATGCTCAGCCCCCTTGCCATGTGATGCCCTGCATCAACCTGGGACACTACAGAAAGTTTAACTACAGGAGCAAGAAGACCCTCACCAGATGCAGTGCCTTACCTTTTGACATTTCAACCTCTATACCTGTAAGAAACAAATTTCCTTTTTAAAACAAATTACCCAGTTTTAGGTATTCTGTTATAAGCAAAGTAAGACAAATGGTCTCTTCAACTGTAGAGATGATCATTTGTTTCTACTTTGTTAATACGGTGAGTAATATTAATCACATTTTAAAAATTCAACCAATATTTCCTAATAAGATAAAAAGATAGACCCCACTTGGCAATAGTTTATATTTTAAAATATTGTTAGATTCTATTAGCTAAAACTTGTTAATAATTTTCACATTTATCGTTATTGTTAACATTGGTCTTTTGTTTTCTTTTTAAATAATACTTATATTTTCTGATTTTTATGTCAGAGAAGTGCTAGCCTTATTCACTGCATAGGGAGGTTTTATTTTTCTTCAGTTTTCTGGAAGTATTTGTATGGAATTTATATTACTCTTTTCTTAAATGTTTGATATAATTTACTAGTGAATTTATCTGGGCCTGAAGTTTTCTTGGTGGTAAGATTTTTAACTACAAATTCTATGTCTTTAATATGGAGTCTTTTTTTCGCCTAATTTATCTTTAGATAGCTTTAGTAGTTTGTGTTTTTCAAGTAATTTTTTCATTTTAGCTAGATTGCCAAATTTGTTGCCATTGAAGTTCTTCATAATATTTCCCTAGTGTCTTCTTAACTGTAGGATCTGCAGTGATGTTCTCTCTCTTCTGGATAATTTGTGTCTTTTTTACAAATTAGTCTGGCTAAAGGTTTACCAATATTTTTGATCTCAAAGTAACAGGACTTGGATTTTTTTCTGTTTTTAATTTCATAGATTTCTGTTCTTTATTATTTTCTTTTCTTTGCTTGCTTTTGTTTCATTTTGCTCTGCTTTTTTATTTTCTAGAAGTGAGAGCTTAGATTATTAATTTGAGACATTTTTTCCTAAAAGCTAACTGTAAGCATTTAGTGGTATAAATCTTACCCTCAGCACTGCTTTAGCAGCACCCTAAAACTTGTTTAAAAATTGCATATAATGGAAGTTTTGCTACCAACTACTTCTTTCAGACTTTTCGGCTAAAAAATATATTTTACCTTCACATTTGTAAAATATTTATTCTGGGCAGAGATTTCTAGGTTGACAAATTTTTCTTTTAGTATTTTAAAGCTTCTGTTCACTATTTTCTGGCTTGCTTTTTACTGACAGGATATGTTATTTTATCCTTACTATAATTCTTCTGTTCATGTGTGTCTTTTTCCAAACTGCTTTTAAGATTTTCCCTTTATTGCTGGTTTTAAGTAATGTGATTGCCTTGTTCCTTGGTGTAGTTTTCTTCATAATTATTGTGCTACTTTTGTCCACCTTCTAATGTTGACAGTGATTGAGAGTCCTTGGTTCTTGTTTTCTTAGTTTAAACTAATTTAAATAAGAGACACACTGCAGTAGAAAAATAGTAGAAAGCAGTTTATTGCAAAAGAGAAAGAACACTCTAAAGCTAAGTGAAGATACATTTGAAAAGATAAGTTAGGGCTGCTCAAGAGGTAAGTTAGCAAAGACTGGCTCTGAGGAGACTCCCTTTATTGGGGTCTTAAATGGTTATTCATAAGGAAGAGAGAGGAGGTGTTACTAGTAAGTATGTTTGGGGTGGTCCTCTGGGTGCATACGCTCAGTTGCTGTACATGCTTGTTTATACATCACATGTCTTATTAGCATTTTAAATCTGCACCCGGTGGGTATGTTTTTTACTATTATAATCAGCAAAGGATCAGTCTGAGGACAAGTCCTACTTGGATGAGCTTGACTATAATGTGTGAGCGCTGGAACTCTTTGTGTTGATAACGTGGTTGCCACATTTGCCATGTCCCAAGGAAATGATTACTTGCTTGACTACCTATCCTGCCTCATTTAGATCTGTGGGTTTATAGTTTTTGTCAAATGGAAAAATATTGATCATCGTTTCTTCAAATATTCTTCTGTACATCCCTTACTCCCCTTAGATGATTCCAATTACACATAAATTAGGCCACTTGAGGTTGTCTCCCAGATCCCTCATGCTCTGTTCCCCTTTTCAGGCTTTTTTTCTTTGTATTTCATTTTGTATAATTTCTATTGCTACATCTTCAAGTTTACTAATCTTTTCTTCTGCAATTTCTAATTTGCTATTAATCCCATCTAGTGTATTTTTAATTTCAGACTTTAAAAGAATCTTTTGAAACTTGATTTTTTCCTTCTTATATCTTTATCTCTCCTAACATGTTTAAATATTTCTATATCTTTTTAAACATATAGGTAATAGTTATAACTTTTAATGCCTTTGCCTATTGATTTTATCATCCATATCATTTCTGTCTGTTTCTATTGATTGCATTCTCTCCTCATTATGAATCACATTTTCCTATTTCTTTGTATGGCTGCACTTTTTTTTTTTTTTTTTTTTTTTTGAGATGGAGTCTCACTGTGTCACCCAGGCTGGAGTGCAGTGGCACGATCTCGGCTCACTGCAAGCTCCACCTCACGGGTTCATGCCATTCTCCTGCCTCAGCCTCCTGAGTAGCTGGGACTACAGGTGCCCGCCACCATGCCCAGCTAATTTTTTTGTATTTTTAGTAGAGATGGGGTCTCACTGTGTCTCCCAGGCTGGAGTGCAGTGGCACGATCTCGGCTCACTGCAAGCTCCACCTCACGGGTTCATGCCATTCTCCTGCCTCAGCCTCCTGAGTAGCTGGGACTACAGGTGCCCGCCACCATGCCCAGCTAATTTTTTTGTATTTTTAGTAGAGATGGGGTCTCACTGTGTCTCCCAGGCTGGAGTGCAGTGGCACGATCTCGGCTCACTGCAAGCTCCACCTCACGGGTTCATGCCATTCTCCTGCCTCAGCCTCCTGAGTAGCTGGGACTACAGGTGCCCACCACCATGCCCAGCTAATTTTTTTGTATTTTTAGTAGAGATGGGGTTTCACTGTGTTAACCAGGATAGTCTCGATCTCCTGACCTCGTGATCCACAGGCCTTGGCCTCCCAAAGTGCTGGTATTACAGTTGTGAGCCACTACGTCCAGCCATATGGCGGGACTTTTTTAATTGGAATTTTAATTGTAACAATTTACCTTTTGAATATCTTATTGAATTCTTATAAATATTCTTAAATTTTTCTCTAGGGTACAGTTAAGTTTCTTGTAAACTGATTATTTCAAGACTTATTTATAAGTTTGATAGTTGAGATCACAGAGCCCTTTAAGCTTAATTTTGCCCTACTATGGAGGTAATACCCTTTTGAGTATTCTACTGGAGTGACACAACTTATGAAGATTTTTTGCTCTCTGGATAATAAGAGCATAATCTTGTGTTGGCTCTGTGGAAGTTCCAGAGATTGATAGCTTTGCCTCTTTCAGATGATCTCAGCCTGTTTCTGTGGGGAACCTTGACAAATACACTTAGGTAACTTTCTCATATACATGTGCTGATTATTACTTAGCTGAACACTAGAGAGGAAGCCTCTGTAGACCCACTTGTCTCTTTTCATGGTCTCTATCTCTCTGGTGAAATTCTCCATCTTTTAGAGTATATGTCCAACTTCTCTCCTAGATTCATTAAAATATTTGTCTATGTATATCTTAAAGTCCTTTTTGTGATTTCAATATCTAAGTACTCACTGGGTCTACTTCTATTCTTTGTTTCTCTCTTGACTAGGGAATTTCATTTTCCTGCCTCTCTGTGCATTGTTAAATGGTATGCATGAATTATATGTAAAAGAACAGTAGAGACTGAAGTACATATTATCTCCCCAATTGGACATTCTATTTTTCTGGTAGACTGCAGTTTGTGATGATTAAGCTAATTTAATCTCTAGTTGGTCTGGGTTTGGCCTTTGTTGCAACTTAGATTTAGTTTACCACTAACTTCAAATGTTTTGAGAGCAGAATCAGGACTACAATTCTGGCAAACTTAGTATCTGAGCTCTTAAGAAACTGTATTTCATTGCCAGCTTTCTGAACCTTGAGAAAATTTCATTTTCAGGAAAGCTGCCAGCCTTTTTGGGTGACTAGGGTGTTGTCTTTGGTCTCCAGTCTCACCCTCAGATCACTGTACCTTGGAAGATCTATTTCCACTCAGCTATCCTTACACTAGCCTTTGAAGAGAAGCTATCTTACATACTGTATAGGTCAGATGCCTTGGAGGCATTTTTATCAGGTCACTTTTTCTGTCCACATTGTTCTGAAGGTTGCTGCAGTATTCCTGAAGATGGTCTTGCATGCCTAAAATGAAGGACCACTCTCAGCTTTCCTGCCTTGCCCTAATCTTTTAGAATATTTCCCCTCATATGCAATGAAGGCTCAAGAGAAAGTTAAACATTTGCTAAAAGTTTGACTTGTTTCTTTGTATCTCTATTTCTTGTGGATTCTTCCTCATCCTGCTGCTCTACCGGAAATGAAATCGGTTCCTTCTCTCTTAAAAAGAGCTTGCCAACTTCTGAAATTTTGTGGGGTTTTTTTTCCTTTCTTGTATTTTTTGCATTCTTGTCTCTCTAATGGACTGGAGAAAACCCACGAATTTTGTGGCTTATCTGGCTTATTCTCATTATTAAGACGAGAGGAAGACGATCATGACTATCATTCCACCAGGCATGAGAGCCATTGTGGGACCCTTTTGTCATCACTTTGAGGAGGTTGCTTTGCATTCTCAGCACTTCAATGTGTTTAACCACAGCCCTCCCACACACAAACACACACAAGCTATGTTTTTGTAGCATATGTACCTTGTTCTCCTTGTTAATGTAGGAGTGATAGTCCTTTGTGACTTTTTACATACTAGCTAGAAACAGTACCATTTGCATTGCATATACCCAAATGTATGTTTTTCTTACCCCCAAATAAACTATTAGCCCCTTGAGGATAAGCAATGTAATTTTTAGTCATTTAAATTTCCCATAATGCCTAGTAGTTACTTGATACATATTTAAAATGAATACTTCACATGTTATCAACTTATTGGTGCCCAAGGAAACCTAGAACTGAAAGATAAATATCTTATTTACAGAGATTACTAGCAGAGCTATAATCAAGGTGTAGATCTCCTGGCTCTCAATAATTTTTCTCTTGTATTGTATTTGATTTGTAATCATGATATTCTACGTGGTATGTAGCTCCAAGCTGTTATATCATCATAAACAACATAATTGTCCTCATCTTGTTGGTTATAACTTTTCAATAATTGGTCATGTGGTCAAGAACTCCAATAAAAATGTCAGATGGCACTAGAGTCATTGAGAGAATAAAGTATGTAAATGCATGCATACACACAATTTTAGCTATAGACTTGATATAGAAATATATGTATGTACATCAGCTTGTATCAAATAGAGTTAAATGGTTGAAATAGCTTTAATATGCGTAATTTAAACTCTTGCCTTCCTTTTTATAGCAATTTCATTTTTAATGTTTTATATTCCATTTTCCTTCTTTTAATCTTGCTTTTCTGATATGCAATCCTATCTCAAACAAGAAGGCTATTACTGAGCAGGCAAGTAGTTCTTTAATTGAAACACTTATGGGGCACACTAGAAAACTATAAAGACTTTCAAGAAATAGCAAAACTTTAATAGGTTCTTGTGTATTCGTGTTGTAACCTAATTCAGTGCTCTTTCAGTATGCCGGAGGATGTTGCTAATTTATGGCTGTGATGAGCAATAAAGCAATAATAGTAATCGAAAGGTGCAATATTCCTTGTTTAGGGGGCATTTATGGTTATGTATTAAAACTATAAGTACTTCAAGAGGCTGTGAAACTGATCTATAGAAAATGAAAGATAAGATCTCACTGCCTTCTAAAAGTGCTTTTCTAGCAGAAATCTGAGCTTGACTTTATGGTTTATAAATATAAACAAAGCAGAAGTGAAATGTTCAACGTGTCTACCCATCCAAAGGGACCACTTAAATAACCACTAGCACTCAAACCTAATAAGGGCTGGAAAGTTCCTTTCTTTCTTGTTTTATTTTTTAACTTTCTTCCCCTTATACCTTTATAAAAATTGTTTTTCCTCTCTCCTTCATATCTTTTACACACTTAATCCTCTTTCTCTATTTCTGGCTTCTCTTTTCTCCCATCTTTCCTCGCATTGCTTTCTATATCCACATTGGATAAAAAGAAGCAAACTGTATTTAGGTGGAACTAAGATCCAGAATGCAGCTCTCCTGGCTGACGGCCCCAGGACAATAGGTAAGTATAGCCATAGGTAGGCTGAGTCTTTTCTGAGCCTTCTCCTCTTAGTTGGACCAGCCCCAATCTCCAGTCTACCTGTCAAAGCAATCCTTAACATTAGTGCCTGTTCTGCAAAACTATTCAATATCTTTGCCTCTTTTGTTCTTACCTTCACCACTCTATGTTGTTCTTGTGCCCATCAATCTGGATTTCTGGACTTTTACCTTGTATTTAATATTCGCTTCTGGCACTTATGTTTGGTGGCCCATCATGTGCCTTTTAAAAAAATCTTTCTGGATTTCTGTTATCTAAATACATAATTTTGGCTTCCTCATACCTCTGGTCCCTACCTCACTTGTCTCTGTGCCCCGGATTCCTCAAAGAAGGGGGTTAATGCACATAGGTCAATTGATTTCTAACCTAACCCAGAGCCTACTTATTCTTTAAAGTTGGGGTCAGGTGATTCCTCTGGTTAGGATCCATTCTCTGTACTCCCACTATTTTCTACATACACCTCTGCATTGCACTTTTCAGATTATATCTGAGCATGTGTCTGTATAGTGGCTCCTCAGATCTGTGGCCCTTTATCTTTAGTCCTGAGGAGTCCCTGTTTGATGATGATTCCAGAAGGATTATCTTTACGCAAGAGAGAGATATGACCAGAGGAGGTTGGGTAAGAAATCTGTCTGTTCCAGCTTTTCCAACACTTCTTTATCATTCGAACCGCCAGGTTATGAGCTCTGTTTTATTTCTCAGGGCCTGACTACCATGATCAGTCCATAAATATAAGTGAAATGATTAATACAATGATCAGCTTTACTTACCTAACAAATATTTATTGGTACCAGGCAGTATTTTCAGGTTCTGGAAAGCTAACAGTAAACAAGTCAAGTCCCTGCCATCATTAGACTTATATTTCAGTGGGGCATCTATATAACAGATAAACAAATTCATATAAAATAAAATGTTGTGAAGTGATAAGTGCTATAGAGAAGAAATCAGGATAATGGATTGAGAATGACAGGGTGCTAGATAATCAAATTCTAAGCATGATGAAACCTATTGGCACTCTACCAGTCTGACTCCCTGACACAAAATAAGGGAGCCATTGTTTTCTAACTTGGGGCTTTTAATTCCATTTTCTATACCCCTGGCTCTTCCGATGATGAAGTATTAGGAAAGCTGGAACAGACATGTTCCCTACTCAACCTCTTCCAGTCATCTCTGTCTCTTCCATAAGATCCTCACTGTGTCTGCATCAGTCAAAGGCGGGCCCATGGATATTTCAGAACATACATACTGGACTGTGTTATGATGAGAAAAACTAGGGGCCAAATTCTGATAATCAAGACTTTTTAATAATTTTTCTCCACCCAGAGTAGAAAAACAAGTCTTCCCCTAGGAAAACGGAGGCTTGACTGTATCTCTCTCTAGTGACAGGTTGAGAAAAAACACCAATGGCCGTATCTCCCAAGAAATCATGCTTAGATGCTCCAACTCTTTTCAGACCTTCCAAACTATGATGGCATCACCTTACCTATTCAGCATTACCTCTGGGCTCTTCAACACACATTCTTTGTATTTCTTGGTGGTTCACTTCACTGACAAGCAACACAGCATGTTCCTTCTTGTCCCTGGGACAAGGGCTCAGTAGTAGGGCTCAGTAAGAAGAACATGAGCCTTAGAGTCAAAGACATTTGTTTTCCTACCTACTATCAGCATTTACTGTGTGGCTTTGGTAAACATCTTAACCTCTGTGGAACTATAACAAGGATAATAATACATCTTCTTCCAGTTCTTCTGAGTACTAAATGAGGCATTGTATACATGTAAATCACTGAGCGCCATGTCTAGCACATAGTCTCTTCTTGTCTTACTGGGACCCAGTGTGCCCCCTTCCTTCATCTTTTAAGACCCAACTCTAGGCCCATTTCCTATAACCTCCATAATATAGGTTAATATGTAACTTATAGGTTACATATAGGTTAATATGTAACTTATAGGTTACATATAGGTTAATATGTAACTTATAGGTTACATATAGGTTAATATGTAACCTATATTACATATAGGTAATAGTTATAACTTTTAATGCCTTTTTCTATTGATTTTATCATCTGTATCATTTCTGTTTCTTTCTATTGATCGCATTCTCTCCTCATTATGAATCACATTTTCCTATTTCTTTGTATGGCTGGACTTTTTAAATTGGAATTTTAATTGTAACATTTTACCTTTTGAATATCTCATTAATTAGGTAAAGACTGATCTGCTGGACTCTAGTTTCCTCCTCCTTTAAATATCTGCAGCACATGTGGTTAGTACCAACAAACATACCACTTAACAATTTCCTAGCTTGAGTCTTTTACAAATTGTTTCTCTAAGAACAGGGACACCTTACTCTTCTATGTCATGGTAGTCCCTAGCACAGACCTGGAGCACAAGCTCATTGATTAAAATAATAGGACACAAACCATGTCAGTTTTTTTTCTCAAGGGTGTCTAGATTTATTTTGACTCAAGTGAAATGAAGCATTCCTTTGAAACTATCTAGATAATATAAACTATTGAACCCCAGAGACTTGCTTTCTAAAATAATTAAGGCAAAATGAAACCCCCTGTTTTTTTCTGGCACATACATTGATTCATCTAATGAACACAACATTACTCCTTCTTAGCTTTACCAAGTATATCTATTTTCTGATAGAGACTCTGAGGGTAAGTAACCAGGCCAAGATTATACAACGAATTGGGTAAAGAGAGGCCACGTTGTATAAGAAGAGTCAAAGCTAGCAACTCTGATCCCAGACCACAAACCATGCCTTTTCCTTTATGCAGCCCTGCCTCTCTCTCAGTTTATTAACTTCTTATAGTTAGACATTATCACTGTTTTCTCCCCATACCCAAATCTCCATACTCCAAATGCCTAACTGGTCAGCATTAAAGATATGGCACATTTAAGGCCGCCTATTGTTTCAGAGTCTTTTAAGGTTCATTCTTCGCTTTCCCAGTAGAAGCAAGTACAAAACAAAACAAAAAGAGAAAAATAACCCATGTTTCCTTATACTAGAGGCCATTTGCATGGTGTTTCTGGACTTCTCGTTCCTGAGAATTCTCCAGATAGTCATTACTTACTCTCTCCTTCTCTCTCTATCAAGAGAAGGGAAACTAGCAGAATGACAGTATTTTTCTGTTTTGAAAGTTCAAAGCCACTGGTTTTCTGTTTGCTTTCCCACTCTGTTAGATATATCCCTAGATACTGATGGGAGAAGGACTGTCAGAGGTTTAGAGATAAAGAGAAAGAGGAAGAAAGAGAGCAGTGCAAAACAGTGGTTTGAAGGACGACACAAACCTAGGCTTATTTCAAAAGAGACAGCCACAATGTGCTAGCACTTATGGTGACAACAGAGCTGACAGGATGGGACTTTCTTTTATCTTTTTTGTGTTTTCTTCATCTGCAAGGCATGGTGTTGTGGAAATGTCTCCCAAATGCTGGGGAATAAACTGAGGTTGTATTAGTTAGATATTGCCGAGTAACACATACACACACAACTCAGCAGCTTAAAAATTAAGCATTTATTATTTCTCATAGGTCTACATGTCAGCTGGACGGTCCTGCTGATCGGCTCTAGTCTTTGCTCAGCTGGGCTTGCTTAAGTATCTGTGGTCACCTGGTGGAGAAGCTCTGGACTAGCTTCTCACATGTATGGCTGTCGGCTAGTGTGATGAGTGACTGGGCCATGTGTCTCTCATCATCCAGCGTTCCAGTCTGGCTTATTCTCATGGGTTAAGCACAAGTCCCTAGAGAGAAAGGAAGTTGTCAAGACCTCTTGAGGTCTAGCCTCAGAAATGGCACACCATCATATTTTTTCATTCTATTAACTACAGCAAGTCAAAGACCAGCCAAGATTCAAGGTATGGGAAAATAGGCTCCACCTATTGATTGAAATGGATACAAGGTCACACTGCAAAGAACATGAATTCAGGGAGGAGCAATGACTTGCAGCCAGTTTTGTAGTCTACCATAGTCTTTCTTCTAGCCACAAGTATTTCTCTCAAGTTTCAGTCCCTTTCAGGACCTCCACCAAGATCTTGTGATTGACATCATGTCTGGATGCAGCTGCTTATAATCCACAGCCTCTGAATATAAAGACAGGTTATGTCCCCGAAACACAAAAGATACAATGATGAAGAGGAATAAAACGACTACAACAAACACTTCCACTCAAAAAAGGGACATAACAGAAGGTAAACACCAGGAATTGGTTCATAGCAACTCTTAAATCCTCCTGAGTAAATGTTTCTAGGCCTTTCACTCCAGACATGGGGAGAGTTCCTTGATTAGACCTCACTTCTGCTCCCTGGAAGTGGCTTCTCATTTCATTGTTCTCCATGGCTGTTGGCTTTTCCCTTGGCGGCAGGAGGGAGAGGTCTTTCCATTTCTGTAGCATTCCTTATGAATTTGAACAACTTTCTCAACTTGCTTACAGACTACCATAGAAAAGATTGTGATAAACTGATTACAAAAATGTATGCCATTAAAAATTAAGGTCAATTTTTATACCACTTAAACATGGGCTTGGTCTCATGATTTGCTTTGGACAATACAAGGCAGCAGAAATGATGGGTGTGTCAATTATGATGCTAAGCTTCAAGAGGGCTTCTCCTGGACACCGGTGAACACCCCCAGGCCAGCCTGCTAGTGGAGCATCAGCGACCACATGGAGGAGGGTTCTCTACATCAGGCCATCCTAGACCAGCCAACCCACAACTGACATGCCAGTTGACTGTATACACATGACTAAGGCAAGCCAAAATTAGCCAGACCTAGTTCATAACACAAGAACATCCATCAGACCCATAGCTTCATGAATTAAAATAAATGTTTGTCATTGTGCACCCAGGGGTTTTGAGGTGATTATTGTTGTTGTTATTGTTATACAATATTACTATGGCAATAAATACAGGACGGGGTTTCCTTAAATCAACTACTGGCCTCCAAGCTCAGCTTGTTTCTTGGTCTGAGTAGCTGATGTCTGCCCATGACTGGTGCAACCTGAATCTTGTGTTGTCCTCTTTTCTATTTTATCTCTTCCCACCTTTTGTATTAAAGATATGAATTTTATTCATAGCTGTTACTTTCATCTTTTCTAATAACAACCAGCCAGGTGAGGAATACAGAACAGGCATTCATTTCACTGATGGAAACATTTCTGCTCAGAGAGGTTAAGTGATTTGTCTGCTCACAGAGTTAGAAGCCAAATAGAGTATATATTATCCTATGCTAATAATGTTTAATTTTTTGTTTTTTAGAAATGGGGTCACACTGTGTTGCCTAGGCTGGTCTCAAACTCCTGGACTTAAATGATCTTCCCACCTGAGCCTCCCAAAGTGCTGGGATTATAGGCATGAGCCACCATGCCCAGCCAATCTTTAATTTTTTTAAAAATTATACTATATCATCTCATCTTATCTCTCCTGCCTCACCTCCTGTCTTTTCTGCTTAAATCAAAAGAGGAACTGTAGTTTGGATAACTGAGCTTCCATCTGGAAATCAGACCTAAATTCTAACAAGCCTGGCTGGGCATGGTGCTTCATGCCTGTAATCCCAGCACTTTCAGAGGCTGAGGTGGGAGGATCACTTGAGACTAGGAGTTGGAGACCACCATGGGCAACAGAGTGAGACTCCATCTCTCCAAAAAAAAAAAAAAAGTTGCTTTTTATGCAAATTAATTATGTCTTAGAAATCTGTCATCAACCCTATCTGCTATTCAATGATATTATAAGGTTGAGTGGATAACAGAAATAAAAACCTCCCTTTAACTGTGATTGTAGAGGGCAGAACCATGGATACAAGCACAAAGGGAAAGATTCCAGGTTAATTTAAGATAGAGATTTGTAACCTGTCATTGTGAGGGTTCTGATATTTGGTGGGTAGGTAAGCTGGATGACCTTTGAGGACCCTGTCAACTCTAGGAATTAATGACTATAATGCACCAGTTGTTTAAAAAAAGACAAAGATGTCTATCCATCATCTTATCAGGGCAGCTTAGCTACTGTTCAAAAGAAAGATTCAGTCAGTCACTATTGAAATGCTCCCTTACTGAAATGTTCTCATAATCTTTTGTGATGCCATTCTGGTTTTCCTGATACTTTTTTGACTATTTCGTCTCATCCTCTCTCTGTGACTTTATTTCCCCCATGCAAAGTACCTTAAATATAGACGCTTTCCTAGGACTCTGATTTAGCTTCCTTCTTTTTAATCTCTATGTAGCTTTATGGGATTATCCACTGCCACAGCCTTTCTGCCACCTACATGCTGATCATACCTAGGTCTTTATTTCTGGTCCTGTGGTAGTCATTACTGCTATTTGCCAAATATTTCCAGCTCTCCTTCCTTCCAGGAGGAATGCACTCCTGGCTCCCTGAAACTAGGTGTGGCCACTGACTAGTTCTTTGCAGAAATGTCAAGTGTCACTTTCTGGTCAAACATTTAATCACCAAGACAAGACCTTCCAGACCTCTCTTTTCCCTCTGGCCCAATAGCCAATGACTTTCAAAATGGTGACTGCTCTCGCAGCTTGAGTCTGCGAGTGGCTGCAGTGAGCAAAACACTCTTGCTGACCTACAGTAGATAGTAGAGTAAGGAAGAAATTAACTTTGGTTATTTTAAGCTGCTGAGATTTTTATTTTTACTACATCATAACCTAGCTTATCCTAACTGATAAAAGCCATGGCTTCTGTCTCTTGAGTTTCAAATCGCTATGTGACATCACCACCTAACATTTCCTTTTGGATGTCAAAAGTGTACTTCTAACATTGAATCCCAAACCAATATCACCAACGCACGATGAATCAATAATCTTTCCCTAAGCTCTGCTTCTTCACTTTTCTTCAATTATACAGTGTTGTTACTATTATTTACCCAACCAATCAAAGGACAAAAAATTATTTTGTAACCAATCAGCTGTGTTTGCGTTTATCTCTGTAACATCTTTCACACCCAGGCTGGTCTCTGACAACTATTGCTGTTCTAGTTCAGGTCCTCAATACGTCTGAGTGAATGATTGTATCTGTCTCCGAATGTGCTCCAGCCTCACATTCTAGCTCATTCCCTTAAAAAACCAAAGTGAACTTTCTTAAAATCAAATATGACCATAACTATTCTGCTTATTCATCCTTAATATTTCCTCAGGGCCTTCAGATAAGGTTCAAATTGTCCAACATGGTCTACAAAGCTCTCTACTGTTCCAGGAGCACTCAAGGGGGAAGGACAGGAAATCCAGGTAGAAATTACACCATGGGAAAAGAGCAGAAACAAAAAATGATGATGCTTCATAAGGAAACTGCAAGCAGATGGGCATGACATTAGCAAGGGACCAGTGGAGGGTGGAGAGAGAGAGAGGAAACTAGAGAGGTCCCTCTAGTTTCTTTGTTTATGCTTCATTCTCTATCTAAATCATACTTGCTCCCCCTCCCAGTCCTTACATCCTCACAGGAAATACCCATTGACTTTTCAAATTTTTATCTTGAATTCCCATCACTATGAGGCCTTTTCTGCTCACAATAACACTTTATCAAGCTTATTTTTTTTTTTTCAGTATTCATCTCCTTCCCCAAGCTGGGAGCCTCCTGAGGGTAAAATCAATTCATTTCTGCTGTGAATTCATTCCTCAGGAGCCAGCATAATAGCTGCCACATACCAGTTACTCAATATGGTTGTTGAATGAATAAAGGAATGAATGAATGGGTACCCATCTTTAGCCTCTCTTGGCTGCCTCATTCACTATTCAGAATGGGTTGCTTAAAGTTCCAGCTACAGATGGATAAGAAAGAGGGGCTATTTTTGCTTTCCAGTCTTCTGTCTCCATGTTATCAACCCACCCTCCCCACAGTGCCAATCTCTGCCTATAATCCTGTCAGCAGCCAGATGCTTGGCACCAACACGGCCAACTCAGCAGTTCTCCCCACACATCCCTGGGGGAAGTCATTCACCTTATCACCAAAGACAGAAAACGCCCATCTGTTACAGCTCTGAGTTAGAAGTCTCATAATAGTATCAGCACACAGTCTGCATATCAGATTTCCTTGTTTTTAGGGAGCACTTAGAAAGATTTTTCTCTCCTTTTATTGTTGTTTTCTTCCCAGCAAGTGACCATATTTCATCTCCACCGAGACACAATGAAAGAAATTTCCAAGCAAATTTGTTGCCTAATGATTCCAGAGAAGGTGCCTAGAACCACAAATGTCTTCTTGAAAATCTGTAGAGGAGCCTAGCTCTGTAAACTTTTTAAAATTAGCACATAGTAAATGTACAATTCTTGTGCTGGGTCAATACCCGAAATGAAGGTGATAATGGCATCAGGGCTCCCAGAATAAGCATCATTCCAGCACAAAAGGTTTCAGCCTTGGGAAATTGACTGGAAGGTTTCCAAAGACATCAGCAAGGGCAAGGTTGAAATTACATGGCAATTTCTCAAACATGAACCCGTGGGACTTCTAAGTGTCTCAGGAAACTACTAAGCTGGGAAAACATGCTTGGACTTTTAATCAAACTCTTCCTGGTAACTCGTACAGTCATTGTTGGGCCTATTTCTCCATTTGTAACATAGAAAAGAAATCATCCTGGTCCCAGACATTTTTTTGTTCTCCCAAGGAAGGAAGATGACTGAATTTCATAAAAATATTTGAACATTTAGAACTAAACAACTTGTTCATGCAATTAATGTGCAGCTGTTGAGCATCTACTGTTTGTCAGAAGTATGTGATAACCAAACATGACTAACTCCTGCTCTTAAGGCACTAAGTCTAGTAGGGAAGACCACTATTAAATGAATACTTGCACAAATAATGAGCATTTAATTTTGAATTAGTTAAGTGCTCTGAAGGGAGAGTGTAGAATACTATGGGAGGTATGAGAAATGATCTAATTTGAATTGGAGGATTGGGAAGCAGAAAGTGAGGAGGAGGACTTTGAAGGGAAGGAAACAAACAGCGTGTGCAAAGGCCCTGAATTGACAAGCTGAAAAACACAGAAATAAAGTGAGCTGAAGTGAGCACAACGTGAGAAAACACTGGATTGACAGGTGGCTCCCAATATGTGGACCTTGGATGCCATGCCAAGAAGTTTAGCTTCTAACTTAAGTACAATAAGAATGCAATGCAGCATTTTAGGCAAGGAAGTGGCATATCCTTTTAGAACCTTAGTTAGACAGGGTTCATAATGAAGGAGTAAGAACAGTAACTGAAGATGTTGAAAGGTCACGGTGGTTGAGACCATGGGCTGGCAAATTACAATCATGGGTCAAACTCAGCCTATCACCCATTTTTGTAAATAGAACTCTATTGGGATGCAGTCATGTCCTTTCATTTCTGTATTATCTATGGCTGCTGTTGCTCTACACAGCAGAGTAGAGTAGTTGCTGTAGAGACACTATGGCCCACAGAGATTAAAATATTTACTATCTTTAACTTTTTAGAGATAACTTGCTGATCCTTGGATTAGACTGAAGGGTTATTGATGTCCCTGCAAAAAGAAAAAAAAAAAAAAAAAGGACTGATTCAGGATATATCTTAAAGTTGGACCATAAGACCATGAACTTGAACTCCCACCTTATTCTGAAAGCTCAGAAGATATAGTCTACAGTTGTAAATGAGTTTCTGAGGCTGTCATTTTGACTGTGGTAGAGATTTGTACGAGTTTATTCACCTTATACTTGTTCACTCCAGTCTTACTAAACTGATTTCACATTATTTTAAAATTAGAGGAGAATAACAGTTATTAACTACCATTGCATTTTCATTTAGTCACAAGCACTTACTGTTTGAATTAGAAATTGCTCCAATAAAGACAGTGACTGCAGGTTTATCTCTGTTTTTATTTTTGTTTGTTTTCTTTAAGGTGCTGATCAGAAACCCACAAATATCTGCCAGGCTGGCAACAGACCCTAAAGAGAGGTATGGAATATATGTGTCAGCTGCCTAATGCCCACGGCAGTCTGAAAGCATACCAGACACTCAGAACCTTAGTGGCAGGCTTGCTTTTCTTATGTTCTCATTTTTTAATGGGGAAATGGAGGCACAGAATGTTCCTGGGTCATTATGCTAGGTCACATTGCTCCAAGGAGGGCCCATTGCAAAGCTTTGTGATTAAGCACTCACATTCAGGAGCCAGGCTGCTGGATTTCACCCTGGTTCTGCCACTGAATAGACGGAAGAAGTATCACTTTGCTAATACAGTAAGGCACTCGACACAGCCCATGGCACATAGAAAGACTCCAAAAGCCTGAGCTATCTTGTTTTCTCCTGTTTTGTAAGAAAATCTTCTTCTCCCGTTTTGTAAGAAAATCTTCTTAGAGTTGGACAATTGCCGTGTGTCCAAAACTTTATAAGTATCATTTCCTCCTCTCAAGGAGCCTGGGAGGTAGGCAATATTATCGCTATGTTACTGAAGATACAACTGAGGCGTATCTCAAGCTACTTATGCCAGCTCTTATTGCCTGTGAGGATCAAGCCAAAATCAAACGTAAGTTTGCTTGATTCCAGAGCTTGGGTTTACAACAGCTAGGCAGCCCATTTTCTTTATACTCCCTCATCCTGCGGAGCTTGCCCAGGACTTCCAAATAATGAGGGACACATGGGGACCAAAAGGAGCTGTGGAGCAATGTGTCATGTTCCTGAAGTCCACACAGGAATGCGGGAAGAAGCTGATCCTCTGCTGAATGTACTGATCTTCTTCCAACTTCATAGATAAAGCTAATTTCCGTGGTTCAAAGTCATAACCCCTCATTTTGAGGAAGGAAGCAGGGAGACCCATAAAGCCATAATTCTAACTATCTCTTGAGTTAATAGGAGCCTAATTGGATTAAAATTTTAAATTTTATGGCTCCAACACTTTAAGACACCATGCAAGGGGGCTTAATAAGTTTGGTACTTATTAAGAGGTTTGTCATCTTAACCCAGTCCAAGTAGTACAACGATACCAACATAGAACTGTTCTCTGAGCCACCTAATTTCTTGTTCTTTAAAAATACAATCTCCCTAATGTCAGTATACCTCTCAGAAGCCCTCACTATTTATTTTAGATTGATTTCCTTGGGGACAAAAAGGCTATAATTGCACAAATACTCCTGGAGTAACTATAGAAAGAACACACAGTATTTTATATATTTTCTGCTAATACTAGCCAAGAAAATTAAATTCTACTCCCTGTTTACACCCACTAAAACGAAGCACTTAAAGAGCAAATGGCTATTAGCCATACATTTTGTGATTAATCTAATTCTAGTTTCTTAGTGTAGCCACCTTCATTTGAATTCCATTTATAAATAATGCACAATGCACCACTTCAACAATGATATGAAATTAGAGGTGAAAAACATGTGACTCCTAAGGGAAGAACAAAGGAGGTTGGAACTCAATTTATTTGTTGTTGTTGTTTTTAAAAAATAGTTATTTGGGTAAATTTGCAGCAGTCAATAAAGCATTCCTGTAGGGCTCCTTCATCCCTGGGTAGCCTTTAACTTAATTTGCATATTGGAAATTCAGCACTTTTTCTTGCTCTAATCAAGCTTGCCAAAAAAGCAAGCTAGCTTGCTATAGCAAAGATATTTTAGACACTAGTAGAGTACTGGAAAAAACAAAGGAATGTTGTAGGTACATCCTGCCTCCCCTGTTTGTTGCGGCCTTCTAGAGATGTGAGGTCAGAGGCAGAGATGCTAAGAATAGGCGCAACAGGCATGGGAGTCAGAAAACTGGGGCTCTCCATTTGCTTTGCTACTAACTAGCTACTACTCCTGGACCTGCCCTGGTTACTTTTGGTCTCAGCTTCCCCCCGCTTTTTTTTTTTTTTTTCTTGAGACGGAGTCTCGCTCTGTTGCCCAGGCTGGAGTGCAGTGGCGCAGTCTCGGCTCACTGCAAGCTCCGCCTCCTGAGTTCACGCCATTCTCCTGCCTCAGCCTCCTGAGTAGCTGGGACTACAGGCGCCCGCCACCACGTCCGGCTAATTTTTTGTATTTTTAGTAGAGACGGGGTTTCTCCGTGTTAGCCAGGATGATCTCGATCTCCTGACCTGTGATCTGCCTGCCTCGGCCTCCCAAAGCACTGGGATTACAGGTGTGAGTCACCGCACCCGGCCAGCTTCCCCCTTTTTAAAGAGGGTGTTGGCATATAGCTCCTCACATGCCATTCTTTGGTATAGCTCTCTGTCTGTATGTGTGTGTCCCCATATTCTTTCCTCTTGTAGATATGCCTTCCCACTGTTCTTCATGGTGCAGTCTTTCTCTTTGTAGGACCCAGCTCAGCTATCACCTTGATGGCTGCCGGGAGCTCGATGTACTGTTTATGTTCTGATAGCTCCTTATGTGCATTGCTATCTTATTTTAGGAAACTTGTGAAAATCTCAGAAGAGGATATGGGAAGCAAATGGTATGAACATGTTACCTATTTTGGGAGCATTTCCAAAAACATAGGTCCTGTCTCTGTACTGAAAGAGGGAACAATTAATGTTTAATAAATTCCTATTTAAAGGGTTTTGGTGTGAAATCCTAATAGTTTTGTTCTTCTGTATATGTTTCTATGTATACACTGGAATTCTTGTTCTGTATTTCCAAGTAAGG
Source organism: Homo sapiens (assembly GCF_000001405.40). Lineage (NCBI taxonomy): Eukaryota > Metazoa > Chordata > Mammalia > Primates > Hominidae > Homo > Homo sapiens. The sequence continues at coordinate 208,678,216 of NC_000001.11, read as the reverse complement.
CAAAAATTTACTGTGATTGAACACGCCACCACCAAGAACACTAGGTTCTGCCAAAAGAGCCAGAATGCCCTCTCTCCTGCCTCATTTCCTTATTGCAGCAGTCACCCCACTGTCCTTGAAGACACTTGGCTGTGGGCTTTAGGGAATCAAATGAATCCAGGGATCCAGATTTGTTAACACTATTGAAGAGAACCATCAGTAATAGACAGTTTCTATATATTTCTTGCTATTGTATTTGGTGGGCAATACAATAAGAGTTCAGCTGTTTGAATGCTCTTTGTCTCTTTGTAATCAAAAGATTAAGAATATAATCTGTTCTTAATCTTTTGAGAAAATATGGCCCTAAATTTAAATGTTTTGCCTCCTGAAATGATCATTTTTTCCTACCTCTCTTAAAGTTCTTCAAAAGCAAGAACTTGTCTTATGTTCATGTGTCTCACAACCCTTAATCATATCTGGCATATAATACGTGTACAGTGAAATTGGTAAAGTGAAGCAGTGTAGAGCCTCAGAAAGAGCAATTGACTAGTTCTGTAACCTTGGGTAAGTAACAGTTCTTCCCTGGAGTTCTGCTATCTGCTCCATAAAATAAGGAGATTGGGATAGACAGTTTTTAAGTTCCTTTAGCGTTCTAAAGTTCTCGATTTGTTCTATGGTTTTTTACTCCATAGAAGCTGAAAAACTCTTAGCAGTTCCCAAGAAGAGGACATGTAGGGCTGGAAATCTGTTTGTCCTACCCTTAGTGGAGGAGGCTTCCACAGTACTCTGAAACTAGCATTGCTCTGATGAAGTTTTTTTCTAGGGTGTTGCTTTATTCCAGTCTCCGTGAACCATCTTTAACTCTAACTTGCTGAAGGGAATGGAAATTGACTCTTGTAGGGTCAGGACCGAAGGAACAGGAATTGAGATGTAGCTTCCTGCATCTCAGTAGTCAGATCTTAGAAGAGGCAAAGATCCACATATTATGATCAGAGAATATTGATCAGATTATCATCCTGTGTAGTCCCTCCTTTTTTCCTCACTTCTCTATATGTACTCAGCTGGCAGGTTATACTAAGATGGATTCACCTGGAATAAAATAAATGTGAGTTCACTGGCCAGAGCTGAAGTGATGCCTCACTCTGTTTCAGAACATTTTCTCCTGAGAGTACTTCAAAGGAAACGTATCAGAGGACCTAAATCCTTGAGAAAATCTTCATACTCTCAAATACAGCCCATGCTATTCAGCTGAGCTTCCTGGAAAAGGTTGAGTATGGATCACTAGTTAGAAAGATGGGTAGCTCCAGGGGCATATGGAGCAGAGCTCCCACTCTCTGCATATGCCCTTGGATACCTGGTACAGGATCAGACCTCTAGAAAGCTGAGAAGTTGTAACTAGACACTGACAGCCATTGGGTGCCACTTCATTTTACTTATTCCTCCTGGATTCTATGCAAGGTATAATATATGGTCCAGAAGGCAGACTCCTGTAATGAATGAAGCACTGTTTTCCCTGAGGCTATGGATGGGTTAAATCATCTCTCAAGCTGACTTCCAAATTTTACTCCAGGCTGACTACAATTTTTCTAAACTCTAGATTGTGTTTGTGTGTGATAACATTTTTTTTAAAAAATAAGAATGTCCAGATAATATAATCTGACATATTTAATCAAGTATTTGCAGAGGTCTCCATATCCAATAACTTTAGAGGTCAAGTAAATAAAGTGTGTGGATAAAGCAGCTAGGCAAAACAATAGAGTGTAGGAAGAACTTCAGAACGCACACCCTGCTTAACAAATGCTATTCTGCCCAAAGAACATATTGGCAGGCCATGTTTGTACCGGCGTGCAACTCCTGATTTAAGGTAATTGTTCAGTATCATTTATAGCATATATTCATTAGTTCAACAACACCTAAATATATATTGAAGGGTCATGTGTCAAGTGCCGGGTTAGACACCAAATAGACAATAATGAAGTATACAGGTCTGGAGTTAAACTATGCATATTTACCAGTTACTTCATTCAAAGCAATATCAATGTTTTTTTTTTTTTTTTTTTTTTTTTTTTTGAGACAAAGTCTTGCTCTCGTCCCCCAGGCTGGAGTGCAATGGCGTGATCTCAGCTCACTGCAACCTCTGCTTCCTGGGTTCAAGCGATTCTCCTGCCTCAGCCTCCCGAGTAGCTGGGATTACGGGCACCCGCCACCATGCCTGGCTAATTTTTGTATTTTTAGTAGAGATAGAGTTTTACCATGTTGGCCAGGCTGGTCTCGATCTCCTGACTTCATGTGATTCACTTGCCTTGGCCTCCCAAAGTGCTGGGATTACAGGCGTGAGCCACTGTGCCCGGCTCAATGTTTGTTTTTTGTTTTTTAATTTAATGTAAAATAAATAATGTCATATTTATTGTGTAAGATATTCGAACATTTCCAGTTTAAAGACATAACACAAATGAGCATTTTCTCCTTTTCCTTTCAGAGATTAACAAAAAACAGTTGAGGAGCAAGCTAAATTCCTACAGGCAATAGTGGGACCAGAGCTCATAGGCTGGCACCAATAGTACAGTTTGGTCCCAAGGAGAAGCAGCAAGGCCATGCAGGGAATCACATAAACAGGTCAGATTTGTTTGAAGCAGTTTGACAGAGGAACAGACTATAAATTGTGGAAACCTGCCCACCTTTGTTTATTCTTTGGCTGTGGAGGAACCAAGGATAAATAACTTGTATACAAGCTCCTGGGAATAAAGAAAATTCTAACTAGCCTGAGACATGGTCCTGACTTCTGCCAACAGAAACCTCCAGCAATTGCTGGCTTAGGTAAAAAACAAAAACAAACAAACAAAAAACAAAACAATACAAAAACCTCCTTTAAAGATGAGTGTCCCAAAAGGAACTGATAGAGGATCTAAAAATTATGATAAAGTATTTTGCCCAAATAATAATAATAAAAAACTTAAAGCAATCATCTTGGTGAAAGAACACAAAAAAATAGAACTCAAGGCGACAGGAGGATCTGAGACATGATCTATAGAACACAACAAAAAACTAAATGGCAGAGAAAATCCATCACAGCAAAGAAGTTGAAACTGAAAGGAAGGCAAATACGTTCAAAAGCTGATTTTAAAATAAAATAAAATATTTAAACAGTTTTAAAAGGAAGCACAAATGCACAAAGTAAGAAATGATTGATAAGAAGTAGCACCAAAGGCATAGAGGAAATTTAAATAAATTACCTAGCTCAGTTTTATACAAACTTGGAAACATAAATGAAATGGAAAGTATACTAGACAATATACTAGAAATATTAAACAGACCAGTTCCTATAAATGAAATAAGAAAGCTATTAATATCTTCCCTCTCCCACACACCAAAGGCATAAAATCCAGTTTCAGAAATTCTACTACACCTTTACAGAACAGAATTAAACTCATTTAAACTCTTCCAGAGCGTGGGCGGAGTGGTGACGGTGGAAGGAAAGAAAACTACCAAACTCTTGGGATAATCTTTATATGAAACTGTACATCAAAACCTGATAAAGATTGCACAGAAACATAAAACTACAGATGAATTCCATGTACTAATATGATGCAAAAGTCCTAAATAAATTAAAACTATAAACCATTCTGACAAAGTGGGGTTTATTCTAGGAATAAAAAGATGATCCTTAGGAAACATACTACCATATTTCACTATATTTAAGGAGGAAAGAAGACTATCAGGTTTCTCCATAGGTACTGAAGAAAGGCACTTTACATTTTAGAATTGCTTTTTTAAAAAAGGAAAAAAGAGAAGAGTCCATAAAATAGAAATAAATTAAATTTCTTTAATATAATATAATGTACTGCAACTGCAAAGCCAGCATTATGCTTATTAAGAAAACACTAGAAGCATTAATAGTCAGAAAGTGTTAAAATTAGGAATAGAGCAAGAATGACCTACATCACTGGTGCTATTCAGCATCATCTGGAAGTACTAGCAAATGGGATCATATGAAAGGCAGGAATTAGAGGCATGTAACTTAGAAGTTGTAGTTACCTATTTGTATATCGTATAACTAAAAACTGTTACAAACTAAACTCAGTAAAGTAAAAGGGAAAGGAAGAAAATAGCTTTCTTATGTAAAAACAATAAACAGTTAAAGCTCTACTAGAAGGAAACACACCATTTACGGTTGATTTTTAAAATATAAAATATCATCACTTCTCAGCCTTTTGGCTAAGATCAAGTGTAAAATATAAAATTTCTAGTAATAAACTTAATAAGTTGTGTGTGTGTGCACGCACTCTCATAAAATACACTACTGAGGAAATGTAACAACCTACACAAATCGCTAGACATACCATATGGTGAGATAAAAGGACTCAACAACATAAGACTATATCAATTATTCCTGAGCTGAACTTTTATATTTAACATGATTCCAATACAAATGTCAATAAGATTTGTTTCTGGAAGCATACAAGCTTATTCTGAAATTCAAATGGAGAAACAAAGAAAAGGAACAAAATTTAAAAATATGTAAAATGGAGTGAGAAATTCATTATCAGATATTAAAATATCATGCTGCAATAATAAAATTTTGGTTCTGGTACATGAATAAACTGGCAGCCAATGGGACAGAACTGAAAGTCTAGAAATAGGCCAAAAGACTTACGTGACTTTAGTATATGATAAATTTTCATTTCATATTAGTGAGAAAATATGGATTATTCAATAAATTTTGTTGGAAAACTGGGTCACCATCTGGAAAAAAATTTAAGTTGAATTCATACTTTAAGTCTTATACCAGGATAAATTAAAACTGGATCAAAGAATTAGGGGTAAAAAGTGAAACCATAGAGTTACCAGAGGAAACTAAGAGAACAAATTATAATCTCATAGTGTAGAAAGAAGGCCTTTTTAACCATTTCACAAATCTTGGAGTTAAAAGAAAATATTAATACACCAAACTACAGTAAATTAGAAAACATACACTTAAGGCAAAATATAATCATTCAAAAGCTTGTGATAAACTCTGAAAAAATACTTCTTTAAAAATCTTATCATGGACAGAAGACCAATTTCTGTAATATAAAAATAATTCACATAAGCCTTTAACAAAAAGACAAACATCCCTAAAGGAAAAAAAAAAGGATGAAAGACGTGAACATACAGTTCACAGAAAAATTTATACAATTGGCTACTAATCATGTAAAAAGGTCCTTGACTTCATTCATGTTAAGAGACACAAAAATCAAACTACAAGGAGAGATACTATTTTTCATCTCTCTTTGTCAAAGATACAAAATTTGTTATAAAAAAGACATGGGGGAATAGGCTTTCCTAGGGAGAATATAAATTGGAGCTACATCAAAGGAGGGCATTTTGTCAGTATTTAACATACATTTACACTGATCAAGTTCACTGCTAGAAATGTATTCTAAAGATATATTGCACATGAATAAAATGGTGAATACACAAGATCATTCAGCAAAGATTGTTTGCAATAACAAATGAGTGGTAACACCCTAAATGTCTGTTGGCAGGAATCTATCTAAATAAATGTCTGTCAGCAGGTATGTAAGCAGAGTATCCATACCATAGAATACTATGCTGCCGTGCATAAGACCAGGCAGGATCCTCTCTACAAGCTGATATGGAGAAATCTCAAAATTTATTAAGTGAAGAAAGTAAAGTGAATAAAAATCTGTATGGCATGCTATCATTTGTATAGTAAAGACACACACGCACAAGTACACACAAACACGTAAATATCTGTGTGTGCATAAAAGCTCTAGAAGTATACACAAAAAACTGATAAAAAATTGACTTTGAGAAAGGGAGCTGAGCAGATCAGTGACCAAATGGGAAAACTTTGGATAGAACCTTCTTTTGTACCTTTTAAGTGGTAGAACCACATCGAATATATCATTTATTAAAAATACAATTCAAAATATCAATTAAAACAAAGTTATTAATCAAAAGAAGGAATTTTCCATGAATTTAATCTTCATTTATTTCAAAGGTTCTTGCTTTTATAATATGATGGTGATAGTTCATAGTAGATATTGTTTTTTGTTTTTAATGTATTTAGTTTTCAAAATGGAAAAAAAATCCATTAAAAAGATATTACATCCTGATTTATGAGTTTGGGACACCTATCCACACATGATCTTGATATTTTAAAGCATTGGAATAAATAATCAAAGAAAGAATACACTTTAGAAATAGAAAAATTTGAATAAGGAATGAAAGTGACTTCTCACGTCTTCATATCATAGATAGTATTTAAAAGCATCAATATATTCCTTGGTGATGAAGATGGGGACATCCAATTATTGTAAAAAAAAAAGCATAAAATATGAGGAAAACTCAAATACCTCGGAAGAACTATGGAAACAGCTGTTGCTGAATAGTCAAGGAATGTAAAATCCTGAAAGTTAATTATATGCTTTTTATAGCAATTTGAAATGGACCCAGTGATCTGATTCCACCGTTTTAAAAACATTGACATATTCTTTTTTTTTTTCCAGCTCTGCAGGGTTGGGCCGTTAGCATTTGACAGGGGCTGTGGTAAAATTAGTTTGTAACTCTCTCACACATTTCACTTTACAGTTTACAAATCACTTTCATTTACATGATTTTATTTGATGCTTCATTCCAATATAAAAGTTATTCAAAGCAACTATTTTTATTTCATTTTTACAGATCAGAAACTGAAGTTTGGCTTGCTGACGTGACTTGCTCAAGGTCACATAGCTACGAATTGTAGACCTAGAACTAAAAACATCCTGGCTCCTTGTCTAGTTTTTATTGCTCTATCCCAGGTTGTCTAGCTTAACTAACTCTTGCTTCATGGAGCTTGTAGGAAAGGATGCCCTGCAAATGCAGGACGTAAGCATCTGGGGAATATATCCAATCATTCTTGCATTAAACCCCAATACTTCCTCTAATCGTGTCATCTATGTGAGCAGTCATTTCTTTGGTGTGCAGGAGTGTGTGTGTGTGTGTGTGTGTGTAATGATGTTATCTATATGCCATCGGGGCACCTGCACATTTGCATATGGGGAAAGAACTGAATAAAACATGAAGTGTTTTATTCCAATGGGATGCAAGATCCTCAAAGGATATTTACAAATGTACTCAAGTGCCTCAGAATCAATCAATCTCTGAATCAACAAATGTTCTTTGATTCCTTGGTATGTGCCTAGCACTATGATAATGCTGTAGGGGAAACAATGAAGCAAAGAAAGAAAGAGGCACCCCCACCACCACCTTGGAAGCCTCAATTTAGATAAGAGAAAATAATTGGATTCATGGTGGTCTCTAGCCGGCGCCTACAGAGCACAACATTCCCTGAGTTCCCTCCAAAGGGCTCCAGTTGGACAGAGAGGAGGGGCAGGAAAAGCTGCTGAAGTTCAGTGAACTACATCCTAGTGACCATTCATCAGGAGGTTATTTGAAGGGGAGTTCTGGACTTCCCTGATATTGGCTGAAATCTGGAACACTACTAGCAGGGAGAGCTACTCATAGGGCTTTTTCTATGCAGAACCCTTAAGGCTATTGCCTGTTCTGCTCCTGCCTCTTTGTACGCTATTCTCTACCCAGCAGATAGATAGAATGTTTTTAAAAGTAAATGACTGTGTCTTTCTTTTGCTTATAATCCTATATGATTTCCTCTTGCCCTTAGAATAAAATTCAAACTCCACCATGAAAGACCTTTATCGGGCCCCTGCTTCTTTCAGACCTCTGCGCCACCCTCTCTTCTCACTCATGATGCTTCCAGACATCCTTCCGATTTTCCTCCTGTCCTTAGCTGCTGTTTATGCAGGCCTTTGTGCTTGCTGTGCCTTCTCCATGGAGCATCTGACCCCCAGATCTTTCCATTTCTGGCTCCTTCTCACTATTCAGTTTCATTTCAGATATTGACATTAAGAAAGACCTTCCTTACCCGACCAGTCTAAAGTAGCTGCCCCACCTCTTCCCTATGCTCTATAGATCATCAATGTGTTTTCTTAGTTAGCACTATATGTAATTCATTACCTTATACATTTGTTTTCTTGTTCATTGTTTGTCTCCCCCAACTAGAGTATAAAAGCTTTATGAAAGCAGCAGCCTTGTCTGCCTTGTTTATTGCTGTTTATGCAGCTCCTAAGATAGCACGTAGTCAGTGTTTAACAAATATTTATTGAATGAATGAATGAGAAGCCTCAGAAATTGAGCATTTACGGCTTTCACTATCAACTGCATCCCTTTATTGCTTGATGACTATTCTGAGATATTACCCAAGAATCTCCCTACCTCCTGTGCCTTCCTCACCTCCACAAGTTATCCTGCCATCCTTCTCCTATTAAATCAGAGGCACCCTTTGCCCCAAGGGAGATTAAGATTATTAGAGCAGTAATATAAAGGGAGAGAAAACCCAGTAAGTTCTGGGCTTTTTGAGTTTCTAAATAGATTTTTTAAAATTATTGCTTCTGATTTGTAACAGCCAGGCCCTTTTCAGTATCAGAGGTAAAGCCCTGAAGGAATCATGGCATAAAGTGCATGACATAAGCAAGTGACTTAAAAAAGAATGGAAGAGCCATTTTATTTAGCCCTGGAGGCAAGACAAAAATGGAGCCGGTGGTAGGGGGAGGGAGAGGAGAAGTATGTAGGCAAGGATCAAAGGGGACATGAGGAGACACCAGATGATAGCTGACAAGGGGCCCAGTGTCCTGCCAGCTACCCAGTGGGGCAGGTCCTGAAGGAACAAGGGGTCTCAGAGAAGACATAGGCTTCACTGTGCTGGTAAAACCTGAAGAGTCAGGAGAGAATTCCTGCATGCCAGCATGGAGCAGCAGTACTGAAATAGTAAAGTGGCATTATGTGTCTAGCAAAGTTGAATTGAAACAGCCTCCTAGGTTTCTTTAGGAGTAGCAAAGGGAAGCATACAGAATTTTCTGAGCTTCCAGGAGACAAGTGGAAATGGTTGAGGGATACCTTGTAGATTTAAAGGGGCCTGATAGCATTAGCACACAGAGATAGCCATGAGTTCTGGTACTGAGAGGTAACTGCAGGACCATGGACAAGGGCAGTACATGCCCTAGGGATCAAAGCTAATGGCCAAAGAGTAAACAGCATCCTAGGCCAACAAAGGGTGAGGGCAGGGAGTGGCAAATGCAATGTCTCTCGCCATTTTTCCCTCATCACCCTTTGGTTGCTTTTAAGACCCTCCTCCAAACATTAGATGACACCTGGCCAGAAAGGAGACAAGGAATGAACTCTTAATATGACTGAGTTTATGCCAAAAAAGTTTCATTTCAATTTTGTGACTATATGAAAATATGCAGATTTCTTGTCATCAGGTGGAAATGGTATTTTTTTCCACACTTGAGTTTGTGATATGAAATTATTACACATCACACTTATTTGAAAGATGTCCAGAAGCATCACAGATAATACACAGTCAGTGGTCGGCCACTGTATGGTGTAGCAATAAAAGGTACAGTTACCTCACAGGGCATGCCTTGTACCTGACTTGGGCTGAGAGCTCTGAGGCAAGTAGCAACCCTATCTGAAGCACAAGCTTCAGGTCTGGAGTCAGATAGACCTGGGTTCAAATCTCTGCCTCTAGTTTTTGCAAGGTGGTTATTTGAGACAAGGCATTTAAACTTTTAGGGCTTCAGGTAACTCATCTAGAAAACTAAAACAATCTTCAAAAAATTATTTTGGGAATTAAATGAGGTAATATATGTAATGGTTTAGAACACTTATTAATTGTTAATAGGAGCTCAAAGTGGAAATTACTATTGTTCTCATAAGTGAGAATAATTTTTATTTTAACCGAATTTGATGTGTTCTTTTAACCACAATCATTTTATATTTTGTTTATGAATTTCCTATTGCATAAAGCAATATTTCTATTAAGTATAGCAATTCACTGAGGAGGAAATTAACAACCAACGTGGTAAATACATTGGTTTTATACTTCGAATTAGCAAAATACACACCAATTATCAACTATAAATTATAACATTTGTATTCTCACATTTAATTTAATCTTATCCATGAGAAAGAGAAAACAATAATAACCAGCAAAAATTCACTGTCCAGTTCAGTTCTCCTTAGTAACCAGCAGCATGCATTTACAAGAGGTTTTCCTAGAAATTCATGCCATACATTGCAGACACTAATTTCTAGAATTTGAAGAGATTTTGAAGAGGACTTAGAAATTACCTGGTTTAACTCTTGCTTTTTACAGAGGAGAAAACTGAGGCCCTGGGCAGAAATGACTTGATTAGTGTTAACTAGTTATTGACAGGGTTAAGATAAAGCTTATATTAGTCTTTGCTGTGTAACAAACCACCCCAAAAGTCAGTAGCTTCTAACAATTATTTATTTTTTGCTCACAGGACTGCATGTCAATTGTGGCAGCTGTGGGCTCTGCTCGTCTTGGCTCCAGGCTTCTGTTTGGGTCTAGGTCTGCTCCATGAGTCTCTTACCCTCTTGGGTCAGCCACTGCCAGGGGCATGTTTGTGCTATAGTGGAGCTTAGGTGTGAAGGAGGACAGGCAGAAAAATAAGATATCTCTTGAGACCTCAGCTCAGAACTGGAACATTCTCACTTCCACCTACATTCCATTGGCTAAATAAAGTTAGATGAGCTAAATCAAAGAAGCAGTGGGACAGGAAAACAAAATTTCATTCATTCTAGTGGAAGTACTTCGAAGTCACTTGGGCCAAAGATACAGATATATAATTCTAATGAAGGGAGGGCATAAGCAACTGTGGTGACTCAATGTACCATAAGATCTCATTCTTCAGATTTCCAGGTAAGCTTTTTCTCCCCCTCCACCATGTTCTAAGCAGGCCTCTAACCTAGGGAGCTAACTAATCAGCTAAAACTTTTTGGTGCTGAGCCACATAGGATTAGCCTAGGCAGTAAGTTATCAACATTGCATTTAGAGAAAACAGCTGGAAAATCTAGGATCAGTTACACAGAGATGAAGAATAAAAGAATAATAATAATAGTTAATCAGCTAAGAGTGGTTTCCACCTCCCTTCTGCAAAACTGAAACTCTTAGAAAGTTTTCTCTTTAGCAAAAGGGGATTTACAGTTTCAGTCCTATCAATTGTTTTTAAATTAAAAATGTATTGAGGTCCTCATGATGGGAGCATATAAACGAGACATGCCAATGCTTGGCACAGGCAGCCCAGTATGTGTGTATAAATTATACCCACGGTGACTTGGGTCTGGCTGAGACATACTGCAGTAACTCTGAGTTATACTTTCTCTGAGTTAGAACTATTAAAACAGACCTTCTTAGGATATTTAAAACATTGATCATAGGCCTGCAAATGGATGACTTCTCCACCTCATCAGGGCTTCTTCTGCCTTCAGCAGTTTCAGATGATGATCTTATCTGCATAAATTGTGTTTGCTTCCATCAGCCCAGCAGGCCCCAAGCTGGTCCAAGAAGAGATGACCCAGATGTCCTTCAGTGGCTCGTACTAAAACCTAAATTAGCAGCCAAACTCTGGCTATAAATGCCTTCATTGCCTTTGGTGACATTAAAGACATCAAGTAGAAGACCTGATACTGGGCTTCTAAGATATACAGGTGCAGCCCAGTGACTTGTAATTCTCTATTTATCTCTTCATTGACATCAACATGGACTGGGAGCTCGTGACGGACAACAATTGTGAAGGAGCTGAAACTTGAGCCCAGCTATGAGGTTCATCTCCTAGCAAGAAGGGAGAGTGGGCAGCCAAGGAAGACAGCTAGAGTGAATCTGAGGAGTATGGCAGTCTGTCTTCAAAGACCATGGAGAAATTGTGTCAAATTTCTCTTGTTCCTATTTGCAAAACCTGATGAGAAAGGAGTAAATATTTACCATTTGCCTGTGCCTAAGTGTAAGACTGATATTGATGAATCTTGGTATACAAACTTTGCGGTTTGTTGTCTAAATGTTAACGATTGTCAGTAGGTAAAGAGGGGATGCCTTTCTGGCTTCTCCGAAAGAGTGCTGGAGGTTGTTGGCTTCAATAAAAAACAGGTCATAAGGCCATCTTGAATGTGAGAAAGAAGAAGCTCCAGGATTGCAGAACAAGAAATGAGCTCATATAGTGAAAAATATCCTATACTGGAAGTCACAGCTCTGTGACCTTAGGCAACTTTCTTCCCTTCTCTGGGCATCTGTTTCCCAATCTGCAAAATGAGGGGGCTGGATCTGATGAACTCTAAGTTGTCTTCCAAATGTAATAGTCTCTGGATCTAAATTTTTTCTCGATAGCCTCCCTACAGAATGGTCCTTACAACATCAACTTATGCCATGCTATGTAGTATGCAGAAAGAGCACATAATTTGGAGATATAGCCTTAAAATTTGAAACAAAGTTTATGGCAAATTTGAAGCAAACTTGGGCAAATCAAATCAAAGCATCTCTGAAGTCCACTTGGAGTCAGAGGACATAGATTTAAAAGAAGGGAGCTGAAGATAACTTCTATTGGATCAACTCATGAGTACTCAAGAACTGATGAAGTAAGAGCCAACCAGCTCAAAACTGTCATGCATTTTTTGGACACTTGATTTCATGGTTATCTTTTAGAATAGCACGGTTAATCACTTGAAGCCGGAAAATGAACCAAATGCCTTTTGGACATGGTACTTGGCCCTGTTTGGGATCTTAAGTGTCCCTTTCTTCATCCCCAGCAAGAGTTTCAGGCAGTAAGGAATAGATACAGGGAGCTGTAATGGAAACAGCAAGGATTTGGCTATTAAGTCCACATGGTTTCAAATCTCAGCTTCTCCATTACCAAGGAGTGTGATTTGGCTAACTCCTTTTCTTCTTTTCTTCCTTCCTTTCTCTTTCTTTCTTTCCCTCTTTTTCTTCCATTCTCTCTCTCTCTTTTTTTTCTTTCTTTCCACAATTATTTACTGAGTGGCTGCTGTGCTCCAGATGCTGCTAACCAGACACTGGAGTGGCAGTGGCAAATAAAAACAGAGTTTCTATCTTCTGGGGATTATCATTGAACAGGAGAGGCAGGTGGGTTTACGCTTATGTTACAACGTGATCAGTGCTCATTTTGAAGTTAGCACAAGATGCTGTGGCCTAACAGAGTGGTGTCTCTTTCTTTCAAAATTTAAAAAATACCTAAAAATGAAAACAAGCAAACAGAAAACCCCCAAGAATCCCTTTATTATAATGTTAGAAAGCCACTCAGCAAATAACATTTTGTGAATGCCTATTGTGCCTAGTAAGTTACATACAATATCACTAATCCTCACAAGTTTTTAAAAAATCATTGCCCCATTTTATGCATGCAGTAACTGAGGTACAGATAGATTATATAGTTTTCTCCAGGTTACACAGCCATAGTGGAAGAACTGGGATATGAAGCCAGTTCTATGTGACTGTAACACCCATACTTGCTCTTCAAAAAATGTCACAATGCCTTCTCTTCTAAATATGGGCCCTCCTCTTTGTTACCCAGCACACATGACACAGAGGTCACCAAAAGGCAGTTGAGATAATGTGGTCAAACCATGTGAAAAGCCAGTCTCTTGGGTTGCCTTCTTTTCCCGAGAGTTCACTCAGATTAGGGGTGAGAGGCATCTGTAGGGAAAGAAGGTGAGGAGACTTGGCTGCAATTTAATGTAGGTTTTGATGGCTGGGTTTCCCACTCCAGGAGACCCCCGTTCACATTTCTCAGTGTTCTCCAGTTTGCAAGAAGTGCTTCTCCATGTTGTGTGTCCGGTGCACTCACAGTGCCTGAGCTGCCGTGTTTTATCCCTTTCCTGATGCACAAACTCTAACAAAATGAAAGAGTATGTAGAGAAAGCCAAGTACAAAGCATAACTCAGAAATGGTAATGTAACAGGGCCCACCACGGCTGCTGACTAGTCGCATTCGTAATGATTTTCTCCAAATAATGCAAACACTATTTTTTCCTGAGAAAATGAAATATGCGAGCGCCACGTTCCACATATGATGGGGGAGAACTCATAAAAGATTTTAATCTTCCCTTGTCAAGCTTCAGAAATGCAAACGGCCTCGTCCTCATTTTCTTTATGCCCTGGACTTCTAATTGAGGAAGCTGGCATCAATTGTGCATGTGGGCATGGCTGGGGAGGGAACCAGAATAAATATTTGGGGGGTATCGTTAGCCAGAACATCACTTCATCTTTGTGTCACCATAATTTCCCATATCGCAGTGCTTTAGATTAGAACATATGGCAATAAGGTAGGTAATGAGAACAACAATTTTCTGAAACAACATTATAACTTTTCCCTCTTTATGGTCACATTTAGTTACAGTACATGCTGCCATTTAGGTACAGAGCTTTATAAAAGCAAATCTCAGAGAGAAGGGAATTCAGGAACTAGGGCCTAGGAAGTCTCAACCCCTTGGACAAGAGCAGACCCTGCAGATGAGAATTCAAGGTTGTGGGCTAGTGAACTTTTACTTCAGTAACAATCTCAATTTCGAAGGGGCTTATGCCAACAGTGTTTCTTGCATTTTCATGTTCTATGAAGACTGTGAGTAACATGAGCTGGCTGAGCTCTTATTCGGAAGCCAAGCTAGAGGAGTGGCCACAGTCTGAGATATACTTGTCGTCTATGAAAGGGTTCGAGACCAATCACCCAAGTGCATTTACTACTTCTGTTTGAGAGTGCAAATTTCATATTCTCCCCTGATCCACTAGCCAAAGCAAGTCACAGGAAAACCCTGTAAATAAAACAGGAAGGCTTTGCAGAGATGGAGATGTATATTATGCACTTAGGGGGGAAGTTGACAGTATGAACAATATAATCAACCACAGGGTGATTCCATAGCTTCAACCCATCATCACTGGGGAAACTGCGTTGGGGGAATTCAGTAAATCAGCAAGTGAGCAGAGAAAATCATCACCAGTGGTGCTAAGGTGGATTTAGAGTTCATATAAATACAAATTTACAAGTATCTTTAAAATACCAGTCTAAATGCCAGGCACTGTACAATGCATTTAGGGGAAATAATGCTAAATATGATGACCTCTACCATTCAGAAACTCTCTATTTTGAAGGGATAATAGCCAGGCCAAGAGTTAAGCAAATGAGTGTGCAGAGTATAGTAAAAAAATACTATAGAGGAATAAAAAAGGGGGAGGATGGAGAGCATAAATGCACTGTTAGGTGCGTTGGACATATTATCTCATTTCATCAGCATAATAACTTGAATGAGACAAGAATTGTGCAAAGAACCTAACCTGAGTATCAGACAAGTTTAATGATGTGCCCACCTACAAGCTAGTAAGAAGTGAAGCTGGGTGTCAAATAAAACAGCACGAATGGGAATGGAATGGTAAAGACAATCCATTCTGCCTGAGAGAGATCAAGAAAGGAACCATGCCACAAAGGTGGCATTTCAGATGGGCTTGATAAACAAACAGCATGTCAGTAGACAGAAGAAGACAGGCAGACAGAACATGCAGCCTTAGGGAACAGCATGAACAAAGCCCAGGAAGCATGAAAGAGACAAAATTCTGGGGAATGGAGAGAACATTGATCTTATGTGGTTGCTGCATGAGGTAAAATGAAGAATCAGATTGTGCAGGGCTGTGCAGTGTATGTCATGTTAAAGTATTTTGGACTTTACTCTGCAGATAGTGGAAGCATTAACAACGTCTAAGCAAGGATATGATCTTGCCTGGATCTTTTAAAAGTTCATTCAGCACTTTGAGAGACCAAGGTGGGAGGATCGCTTGAGCCCAGGAGTTTGAGACTGCAGTGAGCTATGATTGCACCACTGCACTCCAGCTTAGGCAACAGAGGGAGAACCTGCTTTAAAAAAAATTATTCAGTAAAAAGTTCTCAGGGCACACTCCTAGGACAGGCTGCCTGACCCCCCATAGGATATTAGATAGCCCCTAAAGCTGCCAGCCTCTCTGTGAAGTCTTTACCTCTTCAAGGCTTCAAGGAAGAGGGAGACTTATTGCATGTGTGTTTGTTGGGGGAGGGGGGGGTGTACACACACTTCTGAATTTATGGCTATATTTGACATGATTTTAATCAGATATTTAAATTGTTAATATCTGAGGTGATACTGCCCACAAAGGTGAGTTTAAGCTCCACCGCCCAAATTTCTTAAAGTTGCATTGTCTGGGTTTTCATTCTTGTTGTATTAATGATTTTCACTTTCCAGACCCAGATTAGCTGCTAAGAAGCAGGGCCCATTATGAAAATAAAGCACAAACCTGTGCATTTCCCCAACCGCCCTGCAAAATGCACATACATGTGCACACACACGCACACACATTCATCACAGGGATACAATATGAAGAGAGGAAAAACTAGTGGCGAGAAGCTCCATGTGAAAAGAGGCAGGATTCTAGGGGTTCCTCATTCTGGCTCAGGCAACTGTCTTTATGCCAGGCACTCAGGGATCTTGCATTTATCACCAACACCCAGTCCAAAGGTAGGCAAAGCCTTTTCCCTTAACTCCCTTTACTGGGAAGATGAAGCTGGCATTTGTAAGGTAACTTTATTTTACATTAAGGAAGAAAAGAATTGGGTGACAGGAGGGAAGCAAAACCGCTTTTCTGATTCTGAGAATCCCATAGGATTCTGACCAGCTTTCCTCTGTCCAATGCCTCTTTTGCTAAGAAAATCACTAAAACTCTTGATGATTGAATCTAATCTTCCCTAGTTCCTCCTCTCTGAGTTTTCTGCTCATGATGGTGGGAGCCACCATTCTTCACACCATGGTCAACTTCAACATTCTTCCTCTGCCAGGACAAATCTCAGGAACTCCAGTTCAAATCTCTAAACAAGCTAGAGTCTGCCCGCCTAGTTCCAATTTTCAGAGAGGAAGTTTTCTGCTTCTCTCTTTTTGTGCAAAGAATGATGATTCACTGAGCTTCAAAGAGTGAAATAAGCCAATGGTTTTCAAACATAAGCCTGCCTAGAGGACTTAATAAATCTGGATCTCTGATCCCCACCTGCTGGAGTTTCTGCTTCAGGTGTTCTGAGCAGGGACTCAAGAATTTGCATTTCTAGCAAGTTCCCAGGTGATGCTGATGGGCTGTTTCCCCACATTTTGAGAACTACAAATGTGGCCACTTGGGCCTATGACACCAGCCCCACCCTCTTCTGGTGTGTGTGGGTGAATGAAGGGTGCACCAGTGGGGGAAGTTCAGAGCTTTTTAGGCCTGATTCTAACATCTGGCTTATTTTCTATTTGACCTAGTGATCTTGTTATCATTATTATTATTCCAATAGGTTTTTAGGGAATAACCCAGTGATCTTGGACAAACTGCTTGCCTCACTGGGACTCAGTTTTCAAATTAAAAAAAAAATAGCAACAATAATCTCTCTCAAGTGTTTTGTAAGGAATAAAGAAGATAGCAAATATAAAGTCCTTAGCACAGGATCTGATACATCAGTAAAAGTTCTCTCATTCCCCGCCTACTGCTGGACCTGATTCAAGTTAGAGTCTTCTACATTCTCATATAGGAACGTGATCCTGCACAAGTTCTTCCATTAAGATGGTCAATGGAGCAGTCTAGTGACCAAGAGATCATTACATGGAAAAAACAATGGTTTACATGTAATGTTGACATGTTCTATTTGAATATAGCATCTGCCAGTCACCGTTTTCTTGCTCAGCCCAAAGAAATGATACTTCCATATGGAAGGTGCAAAAAAGAAAGCCATAAACTATGCTAATAGAAGTCTAAATTCTGCTTTAATGACTGCTATATCTGCAACATTAAGTACAGAATGGCAAGGAAGGGTGGCTCTGTTTTAGAGAGCGGGGATTGGAGCTTGTTTACTATTGAATAAATCCTAGATGAGCTCTACACATTGAGGACTTGTGAGCTGGGGTTCAGCATTGAGAAGGGTATTCAATGGCCGTAACACCAAAGGTAGCCTGGGAAAGCTGTGCAGAGCCATGACATAAAGAGCTGTGGGTGGTCTGGAGGCTGAGGTTTCTCAACCTTAGCTTTGGAGATGGAAGAGACTAAGGTAGATATGTTAGCATTAAAATTCAACCACATACAAAGAACACATAAAAATCCAAGTGATTGTGAGTGCAGCATCTGACTGAGAGGAAAAGTTTTAACTACTTCTCATCTTCTCATTTAGGATAGAATTTCTGGAGTAAAGACTTTAAAGAAAGAAGATTATATCTAATTCATAGCATATTGTAAAGGTTAATAAGATAATGCATTAACGGTGCTCACCAAAATTCCTGATGCATAGTAGCCTCTCAATAAATGTAATTATTGGTTACTATCATCCTGAAAAGCATTTCTATTATAACTAATCAATGGTCAGCCAGGCGCAGTGGCTCATGCCTGTAATCCCAGCATTTTGGGAGGTCTAGGTGGGCAGATCACGAGGTCAAGAGATCGAGACCATCCTGGCCAATATGGTGAAACTCTTGCCTCTACTAAAAATACACACAAAAAAATAGCTGGGCGTGGTGGCACGTGCCTGTAGTCCCAGCTACTCGGGAGGCTGAGGCAGGAAAATCTCTTGAACCTGGGAGGTGGAGGTTGCAGTGAGCTGAGATTGTGCCACTGCACTCCAGCCTGGTGACAGAGCGAGACTCTGTTTCAAAAAACAAAAACTATGAGGGGCGCCTCTGCCCGGCTGCCCCTACTGGGAAGTGAAGAGACCCTCTGCCCGGCCAGCCGCCCCGTCCGGGAGGGAGGTGGGGGGGTCAGCCCCCTGCCCGGCCAGCCGCCCCGTCCGGGAGGTGAGGGGCGCCTCTGCCCGGCCGCCCCTACTGGGAAGTGAGGAGCCCCTCTGCCCAGCCACCACCCCGTCTGGGAGGTGTGCCCAACAGCTCATTGAGAACGGGCCAGGATGACAATGGCGGCTTTGTGGAATAGAAAGGTGGGAAAGGTGGGGAAAAGATTGAGAAATCGGATGGTTGCCGTGTCTGTGTAGAAAGAAGTAGACATGGGAGACTTTTCATTTTGTTCTGCACTAAGAAAAATTCTTCTGCCTTGGGATCTTGTTGATCTGTGACCTTACCCCCAACCCTGTGCTCTCTGAAACATGTGCTGTGTCCACTCAGGGTTAAATGGATTAAGGGCGGTGCAAGATGTGCTTTGTTAAACAGATGCTTGAAGGCAGCATGCTCGTTAAGAGTCATCACCACTCCCTAATCTCAAGTAATCAGGGACACAAACACTGCGGAAGGCCGCAGGGTCCTCTGCCTAGGAAAACCAGAGACCTTTGTTCACTTGTTTATCTGCTGACCTTCCCTCCACTATTGTCCCATGACCCTGCCAAATCCCCCTCTGTGAGAAACACCCAAGAATTATCAATAAAAAAATAAATTAAAAAAACAAAAACAAAAACAAAAAAAACAAAAACTAATCAATGGTCATACACCCCCCCACCCACAAGATTGCAAATTTCACAAAGTCAGGGACCAGATCTATATTACTACAGTGCCCTGTGCATAGCAGAAGTGTGATAAATATTTGTTGAAGGTAGAAAGGGAGGGCTAAATAGGAAATAAGAGATTTGAGTAAGGCTTCTACCATGGGGAACAAAAAGGAAAGAATTGGGAAATATGGGGAACCAAGAATACAAACGGGACAGACTATCTCCTTTGACTGTGGGCCCTAAGTAGCATCCTTTTTGACTATTCCCTATTGCTGCATCCTTCTGTTTCTCCCTCCATCACCCATCCTGAAATGCCAAGTTGAGACCTTGTGTCCTCCAGTCACTGGCAATGGGTTTACCCTGAGGTCTCCTGAAGCTCTATCTAGGCCACTATTTGCCCAAATAGCACCTCTGTACAAATTAGGAAAAGGTGCCCATTTTTTCCAGGTGGATGTAGCCACAAACTAAGAGGCTCGGTCTGGTCCACGGAGTGGGGGCTGGATTTCAGCTTCCCCCAACCCCTTCCTCCTGTTGGTCCTCAGTCAGGTGCAAGGCATAACCTGTACAAGTATAGCTGCTGGGCCAGGGCTCCCTTGAACTTCAGCCACAGCTGCACACATTATGAAGAGTGTGTTTATAATGTATGGGCCCTGGGGCTATAGTGGTATGTAAAATGGGTCTCCCATCTTCATGGAAATTATTCTCCAACAAAGGAAGAGACAGTAGCTTCTTCAGGTGGTTTAATCAGTCAGATATTTGATTTAAAGGCCTAGAAGTGAGACATACCTGGTTTGAACAAGGTAGCATGCTTGCCAGCTATGCTACCTTGAATAAGTCATTTTACCTTTCAAAGCCTCCATTTTCTTATCCTGAAAATGAGGGTAATGACATTACCTTCCTCAGAGGCCTGTTGTGAGCCTTAAATGAGACACAGGTATAGGTTTCATACATTTTGCTATAATAATTGTCATTCTATAACCAACCAAATGTAATCATGAAGAAAATGGAGACATCATTCTGGACTAGCACATTCAGAAAAAAAAAAAAAATCACCAAGCCAAGCGTAGTAGCATATGCCTGCAGTCCCAGCTATCCTGGGGGCTGAGGAGGAGGATCACTTGAGCCCAGGAATTCGAGAGCACCCTGAGCAACATAGGGAGGCCTTGTCTTTAAGAGAAAAGTAAAAAGAACACCAAACCAGAGTAACTTGAGCAGGAGTGGCAACATGAATTACCTTGGGGATAAGGCAGAAGCAAAGGTTACTAAAACAGGCCAGTTGTGATGTAACAAGGGATAGTGTGGAATGTGGCAAAACAGAGCATGCACACCCCATCTATCTAAAAGCATTCAGCTTCCAGCATTTGAGATCAACCGATATAGTCTGCAAGTGAAATTTTGCCTTTGCAGGATGGGCAAAAACAGGCAAAACACTGGATAAGAAAATTCCCAGTTTTCTTGGAAGGCCTGTCCTTCCTAATAACTGGTGTCACTGTTTCTTCCTATTTCTCTAGGGGTCTTTGGGAGTGATCCTGGACCCTTGAAATCCCTTCTATCACTCTTCCCTGATGATGGCATAGACCCAAAGCCACAGAAAACAAAGCCACTTTATTTTCAGACTCTTGAACGTTACCCCATGACAAACTCTTAGAAATGCCAGGCCTTTCCTCTTTCTTCTCCCTTCCCTCCCACCAACTAAATCTGAGATGAATTGAGTGCAGAGACTTCTCGCTCAGAGTACATTGTTTGAAAGTTTGTGTCATAAATGCATCGATCCTGCCTCATGCTCCCAAACAGAATCTCGATGTTGAAGCACTCCTTTAATCAAAAGTAAATTATGTACAGGCCACGTAGGCCAGCTCAGCTAGCCTCACAAAAAAGGCAATCCATCATTTATCCGTAAATGTCAGTGAAATCTGGGGATCAATATGTGCGCCAATGTGGATTATGTTTATTATTTTTCTGTAAATATCAATGCCGAGAAATAGTTCGAGGGAGCAGGCAGGTGCCTTGGGAAATCAGAACCTAACCTAGGGCATATGGTTGCATGGTGGAATCTTTCCAAGTATATTTGATCTGTCTTTTTGGCACTTCTTTGCATGTGAGAGCTGGGTCATCTCTAGTCTCATGAGAAATAGAAAAGAGAACAATTCTTAGGGCAATGAAGGAGTCTGAGAAAATTCCAGAGTTGATCTACCCTACAATGAGGTGGAGATGGCTTCTCTTGATATATTCTGAAGAGTGAGTATCGGCATAGAAAATAAAATAACTCCCAAAGATCTGTTTCATCCACAGGATCCCTGGAGCCAGAGGCAAGGAAATCTACAGCACTGTCCCGTCCCTTCTTTCAGCTCATCCTGATTGGTACAACCTCACAGGTGATGTCAGAGTCCAGGCAGTCAGGGGAGCAGCAAGCAGATGTTTTTGAAAGGAAGGATCTTGTATCAGGCTTCCTATTACTTTCTTCCTTTAATTATATAGGCAAAAGAAAGCCTTGGAAGTTTCTCTGTGAAAAACATGATCAAAGTGGTACTTAGAAAAGACAACAATAAATATTTGAATATACAATATTGGAAGCATAAGAGATTAAAGGCAGAGGGACCAATTGTGAGCCCCAGCCTAGATGGGTAGACACCTCTTTGTGGTCCATAGATCACAAGCTGTGAAATCAGGCATGCCAGGGCTCAAAGTTAAAACTTCATTCTGTTAATTGCCAGATGCATAAATGGAGCAACTTATAAGACCTTTGTGAGCCTCAGTGTCCTGCTTTGTAAAATGGGGTTAATAAGAACAGCTGAATTAGTCAGGATAGGCTGGAATAGAATATACTGCAGGAACAATCCCCTACATCTCTGTGGCTTCTAAAAGGTTACTTTTCCTCTCCTGTTTCAAGCCTATCCTTGTCAAAGGGGTAGGATGCTTTGTGAACCACGCGCTTGGTCTTCTCTAATCATTCGTGCTTTACTTCAAGGGATTCAGGGAAGTACAATCTTGTAT
Organism: Homo sapiens; assembly: GCF_000001405.40. Classification (NCBI taxonomy): domain Eukaryota; kingdom Metazoa; phylum Chordata; class Mammalia; order Primates; family Hominidae; genus Homo; species Homo sapiens. The sequence goes on along the minus strand of NC_000001.11, from coordinate 208,655,898 downwards.
TCGTTCAGAAGGAGAAGAGCTGGATATACTTGGCAAAGAGCACTCACAGCTCACACTGAACTCATAGGGCTTGGGGGCAAATTAAAGGCAACTTGCTGACATGAAGCCTGTGTCTGGTACCTGACAGGAAGGTATTTGACCATGGATGCTTACTCTGAGCCAGCCCTTTGATGTCAGACTCTGAAGGCTGTATTTGATTTGAGAGACAACATAGTATCTTCATGGGTGTGAAGAAGGAGAATGGCTAACTGGTGGGCTTGGAAAATTAACTTCGTCCAAGTACGGAGAGAGAGGTGGGAAGCTTTGAGACACTCCCGGAGGTGGTGCTAACGGCCTAGGCATGTGATGATGAGGACAGTGGATACCTACTGACATATTTGAAGTCTTATTGTCCTGCTGGGTAAAAGTGGAGAGCCCTGGGAACAGATGTCATGGGCATACTCAATGCCTATTTTAATGGAAGAATCAATTTAAGCTGTGGCAAATCATACAGTTAATATCCAGCATGCTTGAGGACTTCCACATTGCTTTCTCCCCCTGAAGTTTCTTCCTGTCTTTGTGTCTCCACTGGGAGCCTTGCAATTGTGTCATTCTGGATTAGGTAACATGAGACCTGAGATACAGGCCTATTACTCAAACTGTCTCTGTGACCTTCATAAGGTAGTCATGTTCCCTCTCCAGGCTTCAGTAGACCCGTTTGTAAAATAGAAGAGTTAAAATCCACCATCTCTAAGGTCTCTTTCAGTACCAGGTTTACAGTTTCTTGAAGAGTATTGGCAGCGAGTACAGGATTACTCTCCTCATGCCAGTTAACATTGATAAAATAATCTTACAATATCTGATTTAGTTTATGCATTCTTGTGCTTCACAGGGTCCATTTCCCCCAGCCTTGGGAAGACTAGAAAAAAGATGTAGAATAAAATCAGGATGTACATAACTTTTGGGAGTTATGGGGAAAGAGGTGCGATGAAATAAGGGTGTATGTGTTTATGGAAGTTTAATATATCGGAAATAATTAAGAAAAAATAACTCAACTCTTATGATTTTCATTTTCAGGTTTGGGAAGATCTCTGCAAAGCCTTCAGTAGGTTCTCTGAACCCTGGTTAGCAGGACTAAGGGAGAAATATGAGTTTGCTTAGGATCCATGGTGTGCCAGGAGTGCATAAGCTCCATAATATGGGCAGGGATGTTTGTCTTGTTCACTCCTGTATCCCCAGCACTGAGAAAAATAATGACATAAATAGGTGTTCAACAGATATCTACAGAACAAGCACATGAATTATAGAAAGAAAATGAATCATGCCTGGGTTCTTCCATCATGGCAATTTCCAATCCTCTTCTTATAAGCCAAAGTTCTTTTTCTTATGAATGCCTCCAGGGTTTCCCTATTCATCCTTTCACCAACACACACAAAGCACTTAATCCGTGCTTAATCCTAGTACAGGTCCTTAGTGACACATACGCTAATCTGCTTTTCGCCACCTAGTGCCAGATTTGTAAATTGACTCCTCCTGAACCTTCCTTTCCAGAGAAATGGAAGGTTTCCCCTCTTCACTCTGTGGAGTTAGGGACCTGGGAAAACATCTTTTCCTATCCTCTTCTTTTGAGGGAAAACAATTATTAATGCATCACAAAAGAAAAGTATATATTCTCACCTCAGATATGTTATCAAAGGAAATGATAAGTTGTTTTCATAGTGTTGAGCTTTATATATAAGGTAGATTTGGGGACCAGACAAGCTGGTATGAATCCCACTGCTGCCCACGGTAGGTATGAGAATTGGCAGGTTACTTTTATATTCTTAGTTTCAGTTCTTTCCCCCCTAATATGGATGAAAATAATAGTAATGCCTCTCAAGGCAATGTGTAAAACATACCCATGGTAAATATTCATTCATTTATTTATTTAACAAATATTTAGCAAATGCCTTAGATGTCCCAAGCATTATTCTGTTATAGCCTCTTGGATACAGCAATTAACAATGCAGATGACAAATCTCTGTCCTTATTTTGCTTATCAATTAGTGTTAAATAAAGATTAGCCATTATTATTGATATATTATACTAAACCTGAATACTCTAGAACTTTTCATCTAGACTAAGTCTTTTCTTCCCCTGTAATTGATGTCAGTGAGTCATTTGTATTTACTGCACAACTGCAGAGTACAGAGCCCTGGATTGAGTCTATATGGAGGGGGAAGAGGAAGGAGGATAGACTGAAGACGTGGCCTCTGCCTTCAGGAGTTTATAGTGCACACGCAAAGACTAGCAAGGATGAAAGGACTTTTGAATTTAAGAAACATGCATAAATTAAACATACCGCTCTTTTTGGCTTGTCCTCTGAGTAATAAGAACACGAGTGGATTTTCATCACTGTCTGTTGTAATCTTTCCAGAAAAACCACTGAACCATTCTGAAGGCTTCAGGAAGAGAAAACTAATGGCTTTATCTGAACTCCTTGGGAAAGAATGGGGTTTAGTAAGTAAATGGATGCATGTTTCTTAAACTGGCAAGAATCCTCATCAAGTGTCCTGACAAGGCAACAAGCAGATGAATGTCAATGTTATGTATCTGACACATTACCCACACACGTAACTCTGTGATTTTATAGAATTTTAGCCTCTGAAGGAGATTTTAATTATCCTCTTACTCAAATCTTTACCTTTACAGAGAAGGAAATACATGCAGAGGGGAAGAGTGATTTCACCCGAGGTGGTGCGGCTAGCATGTGGACTGCCTGGACCAATGCCTCAGTATCCCCATCGCCAGCACAGTGTTTTTTCTAGAACCTCTTGAAGCCTAAAGCCTCAGTATCCCCATTCTTAGTCCAGAGTTCTTTTTAGAACCTCTTGAAGCCTCCTTCTGTCTGACTTGGAGTGAAAACCCTTAGAGCTCAATGGCCTTTTTAACCAAATTGCTTGCTCTGAGCTCAGGCTAGTGGCATGTTGTGAGGGAATCTGAGTAGGAGCTTGTTGATAAACAGGTCCTGGCAGTGAGATTAGACACATTTCTAGTTATGGAAAAAGAAAGGGGGCTTTGCAGGTGCTTTTCCTCATACTGTTCTCTTCTCAAGGAGTTCAGATAAAGCTGCGAGTTTTCTTCTCCCAGACCCCTCAAAATGGTTCCACAGTTTTTTTCTGGACAGACTTGAATTAACAGTCTAATCTCACTAGTACTGAGAGAGAGCTGAGAACAAGCAAGAAAGGGTGGTGTGTTGAATGCATCCATGTTTCTTAAATTCAAGAGTCCTTTTGATCCTTGCAAAAGACCTCTGTCACTGTGGAGGAGACAGTACTCCAAGTTCCCCCAGTCTTGACTAAACCCCGTCTTCAATGCCTTTTGCTTCTGAAAGGATCTAGATTCGCTTGGGAAAGGGGGAGAGATTTTAAAAGGAGGTGACACCTAGTGGTCACTGTGACAAACAGCAGCCTACAGCGAAGAAGGCCGGTTGCTAAGGGTAGCAGCTGCAGCCATTTGTCTCCACTCTGACTAAATGGCCGGAAGAATCATAGAATGTTTATATTGGGAGCAACCTCCAGAGATTTTCTGTCAAGACATCTGCCTCCAGCCAGCACGAATAATATGTCTTATGCTTATGGTGTTGTATAAAACACTTTTACAAATATTATCACGTTTAATTCTCACATCGGCCCTGTGAATTTTGTAACATCATTATCTCTTTTTTAAAGACGAGATGATCAGTCATAATTTAGGCTTCTTGAGCAAAATCACTCAGCTAGTGAGCCATGAAGTAGGAGCTAGGAGTCAGGCCCTCAGCCCTTACCTTCCCACTTGCGATCAACTGTTTACTGACTCTAGGAAAAGACATGGAAGTGTTGAGTGAAACCCCGTCTCTACTAAAAAAATAATAATAAAAAAATAGCCGGGCGTGGTGGCGGGCGCCTGTAGTTCCAGCTACTCGGGAGGCTGAGGCGGGAGAATGGCGTGGACCCGGGAGGCGGAGCTTGCAGTGAGCCGAGATGGCGCCACTGCACTCCAGTCTGGGCGACAGAAAGAGACTCCATCTCAAAAAAAAAAAGAAAAAAAAGAAAAAAGAGACTGGTTTTTCACCAGGCTCAAACCCCAGCCCTTGCACAAAAATTGGCTTAGTGTTTGGAGCCAATTTTACATAAGTATTTTTGAGTCAGGAGAGAGTTTCTTCCACCTGCAAATTCATCTCTAAATTCCCTCTCCGTACATGAGAATAACAAATCTTCTCGGTGGGAAGAAAAGAAGTCGGCTTGATATGGACTGGCTGCAGAGAGGAGGGGGTTGCTGGGTCCCTGTGGCAGTGAACGATGGGGCCATCCAGGAATACGGAAGAGGCTGCTGGTTGTGTCAGAAGAGTCCTTGTAAGAGGAAATTAAGCCGGATATAACCTGATATGAAATCGCTGGGTACATCTCAGGTTCCTGGCTTAAATATTCAATAGTCTTCAGGGAGAAAATGAATTAATGAATAGGGTCATCTGACAGTAGAATTTTTTAAAAAGTGTTTGAAAAGTAAAAACGCGTTCTACCCCATCCACTCCCTCAGCCACACCCTCTCTACAGAGGCTCCAATTTCTCACAGAATTTCTCAGGTATTGCCTCACCTACTCCTACCCTAGCCCAAGCTGCCTGTCATCCCTCCCTGCTACATCTCTTGGTACTTGGACGTTCAAGTACAGCAGCCTTTAGCCGCTTACACAATCACAGGACATCCTCTGAAAGAGAAGCAATCTTCTGTGGTTTGGTTGTTTTAGAAAGAAGGCATTGTTGATGGAGGTCTTGACTTGTGGGCTGACATAGCAAGCGAAGGATGGGTTTGCTTTTTCTGGATGTTACTTGTTTAAAAAATATATTTATAAGAGAAAGCCCTCTCTATTTTCCTAAGGGATAGGGCTGGACAGGAAGTTTTCAGAGATTCAAGCCAGATGGGGGTGCAAACCTCTCAGGACCAACACAGCATCTTTCCTGAGCTCTCTACTGTGGATGTGCTGAGGTCCTCCACATGAAAGTTAGGAAGGGATATTTCTCCTTTCAGCAAGAGGCTGCTAGTTGTGCCAGATGAGTCCTTAGGAGGAAATCAAGCCAGATGTAACCTCCACAAGGTATTTTCTCTTATCATTCCCTAACAAGAAAAAAGAAATCCAAGAGACAGAACTAGACTGTATGGTAGTTTCTGTCAGTATTGAGGTTATGAGGTACACCAACTACAACATGCAGTATATTCTCAACCTCATTTTCCTATGCCCCAGCCTGCTTATAACACCATGGGGCAGGCAGACAACCACTATGATGCCCAACCCTAACCCAGAGCCTATGTGCAAAGGTTCACGTAGGATGCCTGGTGCCTTTTTCATAGGGGAATTTCAATCAATTCCCTGCACTCCTCAATTCCCAGTTACTTCCTTTTCTTCTTAGAATTCAGGAAGTATAAGTCTCCACTGGCACAAGTCTCCACTGTCTAATTAGACTGACTGATGTGAGAGATCGAATGGGTTAATGGAAGGCCAACATATATCTTAACACCTTTATTTGTGCTGGCCTTACCTGTTCATTAGTCTTAAGTACCCTAGAGTAATTACAGAGTCCCCTCGTCTGCCAGGTCTCTCTATTGCACGTAGGCAAGAGGTGTTCAGAGCTGGTTCACAGACAGTGATGTTGGTAGGCTGACTAGTCCCTTAGATTTTGAGACTCCCAGCTCAGGTGTCTGATGCTTTACTAATAATAACATCAAGGGAACCTCCAAGGGTACTGACAATAATAATAATGTCACATACTCATTCAACTGAAGACTTTTTAAAAGAATTTACCCAGACAACATTCTAGGTACTTGGGATTCATCAGTGAACAAAAAGGTTAACATTTCTGCACACGTGCAGCTTTCATCATAGCTCACAAAAGCTTTTGCCTAAACTTACCTTATTGAAGCCTTGCAAGAATCCTAAGAGTGCTGAGGTCTCAACTTTCTGTTTTTTACAGAAGGATAAACTTATTTATCCTGCTCCTCATATCATAAAGCACTCCTCCTAATCTCCAGGTCAAACTTCTGACCAACCCAATCATAATGTTGTTCTTGATTTTCTCTACCAACTATTTATGTCTACACATTGATTTTATTTCTACTGTTGGCAGCTTGGTGTCATAGAAAGAAAAAAGAATCCAGAATGAACCTGAGCTCAAATTCATTCTCCACCACTCACTAGATAGTAAACTTTAGTCAAGTCTCTTTATTCCAATTTTCTCATAAGTAAAATGTTATAATAAGGGTAAAATAAGAACTCTGTGAGACCACACTTAGGGAGATGCTGTGTTATTGGTTTCATGCTTTACACAGATGTGACATAGAGATCCCATGAGCTTAGCAGCAAAAGCTACCCAGTGGAATTCTTTCTGGGGTACAAACATGTAAGAATAATACTTTCTAAGCTCAGTTATTGAATAAAGTATTGTATCAGTCTGTTCTCATGCTGCTGGTAAAAACATACCTGAGACTGGGTAATTTATTTAAAAAAAAAAAAAAGAGGCTTAATGGACTAACAGTTCCACATAACTGGGGAGGCCTCACAATCATGGTGGAAGGTGAAAGGCATGTCTTACATGGCAGAAGATGAGAGGGAATGAGAGCCAAGGGAAAGGGGAAACCTCTTATAAAACCATCAGATCTTCTCAGACTTATTCACTACCACAAGAACAATACTGGGAAAACTGCCCCTACAATTCAATTATCTCCCACGATTCAATTATCTCCCACTTGGTCCCTCCCACAACATGTGGGAAATTTGGGAGCTACAATTCAAGAAGAGATTTGGGTGGGGACACAGTGAAACCATATCAAGTATGTTTTCTCCTCTGACTGGAGAGAAGATGGGAATGGAAGCCAATTCTCTAGTAGACAAGTGAAAATAGAAAGGTCCATTTGATAAATAGGAACAGCTATTCCTTTTCACAGTAGGGAAAGTCTTAGTAGGGAAAAAAAAAAGTTCAGTGTCAGAGAAGTGATATCAGAATTTCCCTATAGCCCCAAGAAGCCCACATCTGGGAGGGAATTTGCATGGCCATTTAATTCATTACTTCTCCTCAAGGTAAGATTACCATGTGGATATTGGATGGTGCCTGGGAAGTCACACCTGTGATAATTGGCATCGCTGTTGCATTCTTCAGAGCAAAAGGCAAAGAACATACTAGAAGCTTGGGTTTGATTTCTCCATTTCTTCAGTCAATGCTCTAGAATAAATGAAGATCAAATATGACAGATAATAGGCAACCTGCTCTTGGGAAGGATATATCTAATCCAGACCCTGGGGTTCCCTCATTGCAGAAATATCCCGAGCTTGGGATTCCTTCTCAAGGAAGCCTGTTACACACAACCAACGTCTGCCTTCCCACAAAGCTGTGCCTGTCAAGGCAGAAGGGTAGAGTGCAGACATCTCTTCCATAGAAGAGAGAAAAATGATACGAGAGCAGCTTGGATGGGAACAATATTTCAGGCATGGCTAGCTGTTAAAAATGAGCTAACTCAGAAGAGGCACATTTAAATAAATATAATGCAAAGGCATAATGGCACAAGATAACAGTTTTGAATGGGAAATTCTAATGACTTCAAGTGCATTTCACAGGGCAATTAATACACATGGCAATGCTGCAGCATTCAGCAAAAGGGAGGGAGAAACAGGGTCGGGAGCAAAAAAAAGGGGAGATGGAGGCAACTGATAAAAATAGGACTTGATTTTCTTTGCAGAAGGAGTAGTGCTTACAAATATAATAAAAGAGAAAAATATGTGTGTCAGGTTTTATAATTCAGCTTGTAAAATTCAGAATGATTAGTTTTTGAAGAGGGCAATTACTCCTCTTTTGCATATTCATGAAGATTTAATGAAATAGGGTTGGGCTTTTTCCATTCTTCTCTGGTTACCCCCTTCAGTCCCCTTCCCCCACCACAAACTAAAAATATATCTGATTCCCATCAAACTGAAGCCTCATTCCATTCAATTCATGGAGGAGCTGCTGATTGGTAGGTACAAATGCCTAGGATTCTCTAAGAAATTACATATCTTTATTGACATTGCCTATAAGTTAACAGATGAGATGTGTGAATCTTCAGGGGCCGAGGAAGAGGTTTCTGATGACAGCAAAGAGGAAAATTACACAGGGCAAGAGGCTGGCTCCCTGGGACAGATGGAGGATATCTTATTTGCCTGTTTCTTCTTTTTATTGTTGCTAGGGTGTGTGTGTGTGTGTGTGTGTGTGTGTGTGTGTGTGTGTGTGTGTGTGTGTGTGTGTTGTGTAGGAAGAGGGAGAGAGAGAAAAGAAAGAAAAAAGAAAGAAGGAAAGAAAAAGAAAGAACCAAGAAAGGAAGGCTGTCAGGCAGGTAGACCAAGTGAAGAAAGAAAAGAAAAGAAAGAAAAGAAAGAAAAGAAAGAAAGAAAGAAAGAAAGAAAGAAAGAAAGAAAGAAAGAAAGAAAGAAAGAAAGAAAGAAAGAAAGAAAGGAAAGAAAGGAGAGAGAGAGAAGGAAGAAAGAAAGAAGAAAGAAAAAGAAAGAAAGGAAGAAAGAGAAGGAGGGGGAAGGAGGGAGGGAGGGAAGGGGGAAGAAAGGAAGGAAAGAAGGAAGGAAGGAAAGAAAGGAAGGAAAGAAGGAAGGAAAGAAAGGAAGGAAAGAAGGAAGGAAGGAAAAGAAAGGAGGGAGGGAGAGAGGGAGGGGGAAGGGGAAGGGAGAGGGGAGGGAGGGAAGGAAAAAAGGGAAGAGAGAAAGAAAGAGAGAAAGAAAGAGAAAAGAAAGAAGGAAAGAAATAAAGAGAAAGAAAGAAAAAAGGAAAGAAAGACGCAGGTTCGGTGCATTGGCTCACACCTGTAATCCTAGCATTTTGGGAGGCCGAGGTAGGTGGGTCACATGAGGCCAGGAGTTTGAGATCAGCCTGGCCAACATGGTGAAAACCCACCTCTACTAAAAATACAAAAATTAGCCAGGTGTGGTGGCATGCACCTGTAATCCCAGCTACTTGGGACGCTGAGGCACAAGAGTTACTTGAACCTGGGAGGCAGAGGTTGCAGTGAGCTGAGATCATGCCAGTGCACTCCAGCCTCGGACTCTGTCAAAAAAAAAAAAAAGAAGAAAGAAAGAGAAGGAAAGAAGAAAGAGAGAAACAAAGAAGGAAAGAAAGAAAGAGAGAGAATGAGAGAGAAAGAAGAAAAGGAAGGAAGGAAGAGAGGATGGGAGGGGAGGGGAGAGAAAGAAAGAAAGAAAAGAAAGAAGAGAGAAAGAAAGAAAAGAAAGAAAGGAAAAAAGAGAAAGAGAAAGAAAAGAAAGGAAGAAAGGAAGAAAGAAAGAAAAAGAAAGAAAGAAAGAAAAGAAAGAAAAAGAAAGAAAGAGAAAAGAAAAAGAAAGAGAAAGAAAGAAAGACAGAAAGACAGGAAGGAGGGCAGGGAGGGAGGGAGGGACTGGAGAGAGGAATAATGGAGGGAGGAAGGCGGGGAAAAGAAAGAAAGTAAAGAAAGAGTCTGAAGAATCCTGTGCTGTCCAGTTTCATGGGGGCCTGGAGGATAATTTTTAAGGTAGCCAACAAGTATAGAGATTTTTTTCTCTTTTTGTTTATATGCTTTGCAAGTGTTGCCTAGAGCAAAGAAAACTACAAACCAATGAACAAACAGCTCCAAAACCCATGCACAGTCAAAATCCACCTCAGCACAAAAGGGAGAGACCCTGATGCCCTATCTAGTTTGTTACCATCTTCTTGGTGCACTGATTTCGGTTGTGTTTTGTTTTTGTTTTTGTGGTGTGTGTGTGTGTGTGTGTTTGAGTACTCAACTTATTTTCCTAAACTTTTGTTCTAAGAATCTCTTTGGTCAGCTCCCAAAGCCCTAGATCTAGGTTTCTCCTCATGCCCAGATCCTGTTAAAGTTTTCAGTTTTTCCTGACACTGCATTGACTATTAACACCAGTCTTCCCCCTTTATGAGGACAAGTCTATTTAATTCTGGGGTTCAATCTTGGAAAGCCTAAGTCACACTTTCCAATAAATATATTAACAAATAATAAAGCTGGCATTGTGGTCTCCATTTACATGCCTCTAATCTGTCCTTGAATTGCTTTAAAATCAGGTGAAAACAAAGAAGTATTACCTATAAGACCCCTTCAAATGTCAATGCTAATCTTTACCGAAATCGCCTTTTGATCCAATCATGGTGCTAGACTTTCATATTTGCTAAATTCATCTTGGAATAGTTCATCTAGTGACTATGGGGAAAAAAAAAGTGCTCACCTTGTCATTAAATTACCTGTGGATATTTAAAACACTCATGGGGGTGACCCAGGATCTGAACCTGGAATTTTCAAATCCTGAGATTGGGGTGTAGGCAATTGGGTATGGGCCCCGATATTGCAATTATATTTTGTGTGAATACGAATATATTTATTTTTCTAGGAAAGGTCCATAGCTTGAATTAGATATTCAAAAGGTTTCTGATCCCCTAAAAGTAAACCCTTAGATTCGAGAGTCATAGTGACTGGCATCAGTTGGAAATAAAAACTTTTTTGCCATACATTCAATGTCTGACAGTCACAGCTAGAATGGGAAATTTACTTAAATTTAGGAAGAACAAATTAGCTGTAAATTACTGTTGAGAGTTTTTTACATCTTAAGGGGCAAAAGATAGGGAGGGTCACTTCCTAGTTCTTGGAACCCTGCTCTGTCCTCTCCTCTCTGGATTTCCTGCCCATTGCCCATGACTCTGCTGTTTTCCTCTCAACATGAATACACACCTGCCCTGAAATGAAGCATCATTTCCCTTCTCTTGACTTTTTGGAGATCCATTAAGCAAACCCCTGCAGAGAACTTGCATTCTCCAAAGATGGCCCCCATGCTGTCCTTGAGAGGAAACTAGACTTCATAGTGCCTAGCTGTTTAATTCATAAATAAATATTGCATGTGCTACCAGATGGTTCATTAGCCAGTTGTTATGGCAATCAGCATTTCAGCCAATTAAAAACCTTTCCCAAGACTTTAAAATATGTTGATTGTAGAAACATGAAGTGCCTGAAGACCATGTAATACACGTGAACGCAAGAGGCATCCCTGCTTTGGGATAAGAGAGAGCTGCTGGGGGAGGGAGCTGCTGGGGGAGGGAGCTGCTGGGGGAGGGAGCTGCTGGGGGAGGGAGTGGGGAAAAGAGGCAGGAGTGAGTCAATGATATTCAGACACCAGAATGAAAAAAAAAAGATGTTACAGGAGGAAGACATTTTCATGAATATCTACCCTGTATGTAAAGGACTCTTCCTTTACAGTCAGAAACCAAAGGGGCTATTTGGCCCATTTTTTAATAGATTCCTTGAGGGCAGTGATTGTACCTTGTTGACTTTAGTGTTTCATTGCCTTGCATACAGCCTGGCAAATAGTAAGTGACAATTTAGAGTAATAAAAAATAGTTTAACCAGTATTATCATAATTTATATGTCATAATAAATAGTAGAAAAAATAAAGAACTCTTCTTCTGTTATGCAAACCAAGGGTAAATCCTATTACTGGTTTAAACAGAAGCCAAATGAAGGAGATTGCTGCTATGGTTCTGGGAAATCTGGCTGGGGCAGGAGACCCTGGGCGATTCTGCTGCATCTGTGACTCGGAGAGAGTGGCCAGGAACAAACATCTGACTGCGAGTACAGGAAAGAGCCCTGCATTAGACTTCTGGCATGTGCTGTCCAGTCAGTTTCAATGATCTATGCAAACGTGGGCATTCTGTCTCCCCAGCTGAATGTAATACTTTCTAGGGCTGCTACTCAAGGGCTACCCTCAATGGGACTGGGGCTGGGGCTGGCCTGGTTGGGCTCTAGCCAAAAGCAGAAGTCAGAGACTGGCTTTGGAACAGTAAAATCTAAACCAAAGCATTTCTACCCAAGGGCAAGAAAATGATGAGGGCCAGAGATGTGAGTCAAGACAAAGCCTGCAGGAAATTACTTGGATCCCCAAAAAGGGTGTGAAGATGGCAATGCGGGCCTGTTAGCAGAGACAAGTATTCTGAATTAATGGAGATAGATGAGCAAGAATACACTCTGAGATAGAAAAGGAGATAGGCCCTGTGTTCCACTCATCTCTGTGTCCCTATCATCTTGGACACTGCCTGTCTCATAGCAAGTGCTCAGCAAGAGTTGAGTAAATGGACAGTCATTCCCTTCACCATCTCAGCGTGTGCTAAACTATATCACGTATGGGTGACTGAGAGAATGGAAGCTCTGAATTCTATTTTGGGATGCTTCATTTCCTCCTCGGAGAACCCTTTTTGAAATATGCTAACCAGAACCAAGATTTCCCTTTATTTTTACTCTCTAATCAAAGGAATTTCCCAGGGAGGTGGAATCCCTCAATACCAGGAATCCAGTGCTTGTCAGGGATCCAGTCCAGGGGACAGTGGAGGGTCTGGGATTCCCACCTCACTGGCTGCCAAGAGGTCTGGCTGTGCTCCCAGCAATTCCTGAGCCCCTCCTATCCTCCCCCATCTCTCCTCAGAGCTGACTGGACCCCTCCACACAGAAATCTGCTGCCTGTGAAATTGTAAAGTGAAGGGAAAGGAAGTGCAAAAAATAACTTCCCTAGACAATCAGAGCAGATTATTTTAATGAGGGCTTGGAAATGGGAAACAAATGACACCAAATTAGCCTCACTCCCATTCATCAACTATGTTGGTGCAAGCGCTAAGCCTTCGCCTGAGTCAGCAGTGAAGCTGAGGTGGCTGCCTCTAGTTTCAGGGAGCTCCTCGCAGGAGCCCGACACATCTTTCACAGAGCTCAGTAGTCTCCATTCAATTGTTTCAAGGCTGCTGGGGCTCAGCGCTGCTAACCCTTGTCTGCTTTAAATTTCCTCTGGATAGAAGTACGGAGCGCTGAAGGAAAAGAGGGTCCCAGAGCCCACCTGTGGCTCAGGGAAAGGTAAATGACAGAACCAAGCTACTCCTATTTCCCAGAGCCCACCTGTGGCTCAGGGAAAGGTAAATGACAGAATCAAGCTACTCACATTTCCCAGACTCTGTCCCTAGACCAGGGAACTTAATTGTGGGTGAACCACGTTACAACATAGAACATAAGCAGTTTGTCTGTATTTTCCTCTGAGGCACACACCTCTCCTTCATACCGACCAGTTTTGTCTCCTGGCCAGCCCTGGTTATTGTCAATGAGAGGTCATCGGCTAGGCTGAGGTGGACTGTTGTGCCACAATTCACAATGTAGACTTATAGTAATAATAATGTTTCCACGTGCAGCTGGAGAGGAGAAGCTGAGCTCCTCTGAAACTGGGCCTCCTTGGGTCAGAGTGGTGAACAGAAAAAGACTACAATAATTACATTAAGCAAAATGAAATTGTTTCCCCACTGGAAGGAAGGAAAGTCATTAACTCAGAGGGTCCAGTTATCAGGGAAAATGATATCACATCTGCAGTGTGTTTTGGATTGCAATTTAACAGGAGAAATTGGAAGAGAATTTGATGTGGGGTGAAAGGTGTTGGATTGACAGCTCAGGGAATTGGAATATGCTGTTCTCAGTCCACCTCTTGTTCTCTATCTCTTGGTCTCTGGGTCTCGTCTTACCTACTCTGACATTCATTTCTCCCTCTTCACAAGAGACAGTTTGGGACAGATACTGATGCAAATTCAATCCTTTTCTATTTCTAAAGCCTTGGAGGTTCTTGGTTTTCAAATTCATACCAATAATCTAGTTTGGCTTTTAGCTTGCCGGGAAGTCCCAGGGTTTCCTGAACTACTGGGTGCCTGTTTCTGCTACTTTTAGGGTTATGTCAGAATAGTTTGGCTAGAAGAGGGGTGAGGTTAGCACAGGAAACAAGGAAGTGTTCATGACAGAGGAAAATAACTTTCGGTTAATCATTCAGTCAGAAATTTTTTGCTGAGCACTTACCATGTGCAGAACACTGGGTTTCATGTCATGGAGGACATAAATATGACCTAAACATCCTCTCAGGAAACTTAAAACCTAGATGAGCAGATAGAATGCACACATAGAGCAATCCACAAATGCCAGGCAGACACTCGTCACAATCACTGAAGAAACTGTCCTCTTTTTGCTATCTTTTCACATCCTCAGCCCAATCCTAGTCCTTCTATATCCATCCAGGGAATGAGTCATCAGTAAGATTAATCCATTTTCACCATATGTTTAGAGTTATAAGAACTTACTGTGGAGAGGTCTACTAATCTAAAGATCTACCAATCACACCCCTTTAGAATAACTGTTATCCAGTTTGACAGATAAATTGGAACTGAGTTTATTGACTTAGTACCACATTCTCAGTCTTTCGTGGCCCAGGGAGTTTTGTTACATGGCTCCTGAGAAGGGCACTTTTTTTTCTAGCTCTACCACACTGCTTTAGCTATGTAATAGGCTAACCTGCTCTAACCTTAAATACATGAGATTAAATAAGGCAGAAACTTAGTGGGAGGCACAGGGTGGACAGGCAGCTCTGCTCCACAGAGTCACACGGGGACCAAGGCTTGTTGCTCCAGTGTTTCCATCGTCAACATGAGGCTTCTATGTTAGGGTCAAGGTGGCTACTCCAGATGTCACCACACTCAGTAGTGGAACAGAAAGAAGGAAAGGCAGAGTAGAGGGAAACTTGTTACATTGTAAAGATTCAGGTGATGCATGCTTCACTTCCACTCACATATATTGTCCAAAACTTAGGAACATGGCATATCTAACTGCAAAGCAGACTGGAAAATATGGGGTATCACAAAAATTTGTGTTCTCAAGTAAAGGTTTGAGATTCTATTACTAAAAAGAAGAAAGAAAGAAGGAATACTGGGAAATAATTAGCTCTGTCTTTCATTCCTTTCTCTACCATACTTCCACTAACCAAATCTTCTATCTCTATTACCCTAAGGAATCAATCATATTCTTTTTTCTAATTTTCCATTCTCTTTAGTACTTAACCAAGTAGAATGTCCCCTGACTCCTAATGTGTTTGTCTTTGAACCTTAAAACTGTACGGGAGCCCCCCAAAACCCTCTCTAAGCTTTCATCCTTTAATCAAGTACTTTTTCTTTTCATTTTCTGAGTTTACACTGGGATTTATGGAGTATCCTGTCATGCACTGACACGAAAAGAAACAAAGAAATCTGGTTTCTGCCTTCAAGGGTCTTCTGTCTCTCACTGTCTTAGTTCAGGCTGCTATAACAGAGTGCCATAGACTGGGTGGCTTAAATAACAAACTTTTTTTTCTCATAGTTCTGGAGGTTGGAAGTTCAACACTAGGGTTCCAGTATGGTTGGGTTCTTGTTGAAGTCCTTTTTTCTGGTTTTTACAGATGGCTGTCTTCTTGTATCCTTACATCGTGGAGGGGGGTGCAGCGGGGAGGGAGAGAGAAAGAGAAGAGGAAGCTCTCTAGTGTTTCTTCTTAAAAGGCACTGATATCATTCAGGAGAGCTCAATCCTCACATCCTAATCACCTGGCAGTGGCCCCACCTCCTAACGCCATCACATTGAGGTGTGAGATTTTAACACACTTTTTTTGCGGAGACACATTCAGTCCATAGCACGTGAATACACTTGCTGCCTACTAACTCCTTTGTTCTTACCCAGCCCCTACCTCAGTCTTTACTTAGCTTTTCTTGTTGAATCATTCATTTCCCACAAAACAATCTGCAACTGATCTGGTGTTGACTTTGCACCCTGTTGTGTTTCTACCCAAAGAATCCTTTTCCCATCACACACAATCACCTGATTTACACATTTGCCCAATTATTCATTTATCAAAAATCAAGACCCTGGGCCTACCCTGTGCCAACACTGCTCTGGACACCGAGTCCATGGTGGCAAACTGCATGGCCTCTGTTGTCACAGAGCTTACTACATTAGTGGAGACAGGTGGCCAACAAACAAAGGTATACTTATAATTACAAATTACACAAAGTGCTTTAAAAAAAAAAAGCAAGCTGCCATATGAGAGAATAACAAAGAAGATGAAATTCAGTTTGGAGCCAGTCTAGGACATGACACCAATTCTAGAACTTAAAACAGGAGCAGGGCTATCCAGGCAAAGGAGGGAGAGGAGTCTTTTTGGCAGAGCCCCACCTATGGGAAGCCCAGAGATAGAAAAGAAGTTGGAGTGTTTTAGGGATTGAAAGAAAGGCAATGTGACAGAGGCACCAAGAGAATAGCAATAAGAGATGAAGATAGGGACTGCAAGGGGAGGGGAGGTGATGGCAGAATATCCAAAGCTTTCTGAAAAGGAAACCTACAGAAGGGTTTTAACATGGGAGGGACATGTTCTGACATATGTTTTAAAGTTCATTTTGCTGTGGGAAGAAAGGATTAGAGGCTGATAAGAATGGAAGCAGAAGGAGAATAATTAGAAAACTATTGTTACGTTCCCAAGGAATAAAGGTAGTTTGGACCAGGGTGAAGATGTGTGATGGAGAAGATCATAAAGTCTCTCTAGAGCTGGGCTCAGGTAAAATGCACCCTTTGCCTGTTTTTGTGAAGTTTTATTGCTACACGACCACTCTTGTTCATGTCCATATTGTCTATGGCCACTTTCTCTCTGGAATGGGAGAGATAAGTACTTACCACAGGGTAAGTATTTTAAACTTTTCTTTGATATACAATGGAAATCTCTCTTTTGATCAGCTTAAGGCCAAGTAAGGAGGACTTAAGAAGGACCACGGAAAAATTGAATGAATGGGGAATAAAGCAAAGCTGAATTGCTACTGGAGTTAAAAGGAGTTACTGATGGTGGAAAGAAGTCAGGCCCGCTGGTGTTTTACCATAACAAATATCTGAAGTAA